>NC_000022.11:36588351-36739867 GCF_000001405.40 Homo sapiens
CAAATCCCAGCACAGTGTCACAGGCAGGTCCTCCCCAGTGTTCACTGATGAGCACGTGAACTCTTGAATGTGGCCTTTCTAAAAACCGATAAGTAGCACAGACTCTACAATCACCAGAGCATCGGCTTCCTGACAGCAGAGACTTTGTTTCATTCACTGTCTTATCTCCAGCACCAGCATAGGCACAGTGAATGTCCTTTAACCTTCTCTGAATGGAAGAAAGATTGGGTGTATGCTGGGGCGTATGCACAGTGGGTAAGATGCAGGTTGCACAGCCAGACTGCCTGGGTCCAGCTGTGCATCACTCAGTGTCCTCACCTGAGAGTGGCGATAACAAGAATTCTTCCCTGGCAGATTGTCGTGGAGGTTCACTGAGCTGATGCATGTTGAGTAGTCAGAACAGTGCCTGACACATTTAGGAAGTCCTTGGGGGCATTGACGTGAGACAGAAATGAAATTTGACTGTGTCCAGCCACCAACATAGTAGCTACTGTGACCTAATTAATACAGCCCTCAATACATGTTGGCAATGATTTTCTTCTACAGTCCTGAGACTATGTCTTATAAAATAGGGGCAGATTCTAGTATGTGTCATAGATATTAATTAGGAATTTTACGGTATTATTACATATACCTTTTTTTTTTTTTTTTCCCCCTGAAATGGAGTCTCACTCTGTCACCCAGGCTTGAGTGCAGTGGTGTGATCTCGGCTCACGGCAACCTCCAACTCCCAAGTTCAAGTGATTCTCCTGCGTCAGCCTCCTGAGTAGCTGGGATTACAGGCACATACCAACATGCCCAGCTAATTTTTGTATTTTAGTAGAGATGGGGTTTCACCATGTTGGCCAGGCTGGTCCCCCACTCCTGACTTCAAGTGATCTGCCTGCCTTGGCCTCCCAAAGTGCTGGGATTACAGGCATAATCCACTGTGCCCAGCCTAGACATATATATATATATGTGTGTGTGTGTATAAAATAGACCTATATATTAGGTTGGTGCAAAAGCAACTGTGGTTTTTGCCATCAAAAGTAATAGTGAAACCGTAATTACTTTTGCATCAACCTAATAGTACACAGGTATATAGTATACAGGGATACTTACGTACTACGTAGGAATATAAGCATTTTAGGAACTTCTGGCTATGATTATATGCTGCATATAATGGAAAAGAGGAATCTCTGTAACTCCCTTTCACACATGAGCTATCCCTGTACCAAATTCACTAACTTTCTTGAGTTCTACAAGAAAAACAATTCCCCAGACCATATCGGGACTTCTGGTCGCTTCACTGAAGCTTGGTAGGGCCACTCAAAATGGTCCCATGGACAGGTGTCTTCTCTGAGTGTTTTGGGTTCCCTGCTTTTTGCTGTCCCCACCCCCATCGTGTCATGGCCCCTCTGCCCTCCTGCATCTTGGGGTGTTAAAAGGAAGCCTTGTCCCCTCCCTAGTACCTTGTTTTCCTAATCCAACCATGCACCCTTCTCTGTGGGAAAAGTCTTCATACCAGCTGCTAAGAGGATAACAAATTCTCCCTATTGTTAAAATTACAAATCAGTGTATTTGAAAAGCACTTCGCAAAGCACTCTCATTTTCTTTCAATTCAATCTGACAAATATTTCAGCAAGCCGGTGCCAGGCATCTTTATAAAGAATCTGTGCAGGAGTGAGGCTCAGAGAGCAGTACTGACATGCCCTGAGGCGTCCCACAAATTGAGGACAGAGCTTCACCCAGCAGGGCCCCAGCTGCATCCTGGTGGGCCACACCCGCTCCTGTTCCCCGCAGGAACAGGAGCTCACATTCTACGGGGAGCCTAGTTGCTCCTTGTGTGCAAGCCTGGGCTTCACTCATCCTTGGACCATTGGCTCCTAGCGCAGTGCCTGGCACAGAAGCAGGGTTCAGGAGATGCTAACAGAGAGGCCGTGCGAGATAATCAGTGGCCCAGACCTCTCCTTGAGGCCTGGACCTGGGTATCCAGCTGCCTATTTGACATCTCCTGGTGGATGTTTTAAAGGCACTGAACATGAACTCCTGATCTTTCCCTCTAGCCTGGCACTCTGGAGGCCCCAGTTAGCTTGGCGAATGCTTCTCCAGGGTTCCCTTGTGTAAGCCTGAGCCTAGTTGTCAGCGCTGACATCTATCTCTTCCTCCTCCCTGCAGGCTCCATCCATCAGGGCGTCCTGTCTGTATTAGATCCTTAGTGTCTCAAACTTGCCTGATGTCTCTGAGACAGCACCGCCCACTACCAGGCCACCATCCCTGCTCCCTGGATGGCTGCCGCGGCCTCCCCACTCATCAGTTTGCACCCACTCTTATCCTTCTCTACAGAGCTATGACAGTGATCCTTTGTACATGCAAATCTGATCATGCCACCTCCAGCTCGGAAACACTCCAGCTTCCCAGTGCTGTCGGGGAAAAGCTCAACATCTCTAACAAAGCCTGACCCCCAACCTCCACATCTGGCCTCACCTCCCACCCACCTCCTCCCTCCCTGTGCATCTCTGCCTTCTTTCCTGCCATGCTCCCTCCTACCTCAGGACCGTGGCACATGCATGCTGGTCCTGCTGCCTGAACTCCCACCACGTCCTCTGTTGCCTCTTTCTCCTAACCTCCTTCTGCCTCCCTGCACTGTGCTACTGGGGTGTCCTCCACTAGCTGGCTAGTGCTGGCTGCTCTATGTTGGGGGGAGATATATTTTTTTTTTTTGAGACGGTGTCTTGCTCTGTCACCCAGGCTGGAGTGCAGTGGCACAATCTCGGCTCACTGCAAGCTCCGCCTCCCGGGTTCACGCCATTCTCCTGCCTCAGCCTCCAGAGTAGCTGGAACTACAGGCGCCCGCCACTACGCCCGGCTAATTTTTTTTTTTGTATTATTTGTAGAGACGGGGTTTCACTGTGGTCTCGATCTCCTGACCTCGTGATCCGCCTGCTTCGGCCTCCCAAAGTGCTGGGATTACAGGCGTGAGCCACCGCGCCCGGCCTAAGGGGGGAGATATTAAAGCCTGTATGATACTAGTGGGAATGTTCTAGTAGAGAGGGAAGAAGGGAGGGGCTGGGGGCAGTGGCTCAGCCTTAGCTTTAGGAAGCTGAGGCAGGAGGATCCCTTGAACCCAGCAGTTCAAGACCAGCCTGGGCAACATAGCAAGACCCTATATCTACAAAAAATAAAAACAAATTAGCCAGATGTGGTGGTATGTGTCTGTGGTCCTAGCTTACTTGGGAGTCTGAGGCAGGAGGATCCCTTGAACCCAGGTGTTCGAGGCTGCAGTGAGCTAGGATAGCACCACTGCACTCCAGTCTGGTGACAGAGCAAGACTCTGTCTTGAAAATAAAATCAAAATAAAAAAGTAAAAGAAAGGAGGACAGAAGGGATGACCTGCAGAGATGGGGGAGCAATACAGGTGCACTGTGCAAGGAGATGAGGCCCAGGACACAGCACAAGGGGGGTGGTGCTGTGCCAGGAGGGACAGCAGAGCTCGTGGGTGCAGTGCTGGGGATGGGCAGACATGGTGGGAGGGTGTAACACTTCTCTTCTGTTGCTTCTATTTTCCCAACGAAATGGGAAGCAGGATCATCAACTGAGAGTGAGGAAGGGTTGGGGACGGGAGGACAGGGGAAGGGAAGCGAGAGTGGGAGACAGTGGACCAGGCTGTGAAGTGTGTGTGTCAGTGGCTTGAAGGTCACTTCTGAGATTCTGTGGTTTTCTCTGGCCACATTTGTGGCATGGGTGCAGTTAGCTGGAGAGTTGCGTCTAACCAGGAGGAGGTTTGTGAGGTGAGTGCAACAGGGAGAGGGTGGAATGGGAGGGATTATGAGGATGGATATGGAGTCTAAGCTGGGTAAACAGGGAAATGAGGTCCTGAAGGGCAAGTGAGGCAGTGCAAAGGCGGGGGTGGGGGGTGGAGCGGGGAGGGCAGTCAATGCTTTTGAGCCTGGGGTTGGGGTGGGGTCAAAGCATTGTTGAAATGGGGGTGCATGGGAGTGAGCTGCAACGGTGGCACGTGGTAGCCAGAGAGTGGGATGCAAAAGACAGAGAGTGGAGGGGGTGTGGATATTGGAAATGCCAAGGGCAAGGGTAAGACCCCGAATGAGGTGGCTTGGGGCAGGCAGAGGTAGGGATGATCTTCAAGTATGCACTGGAAAGGTCACACAAATTAATAGATAAGGCAAAACTACAACATTCGCTGTTGTTTTCTATATACATCGAGTATATATTAAGAAACTGCCTACCCGGTTAAAATTTGAAGTGCAAATGATTCATCAAATTATTCTAATAAGCCCCAAATCACCGATTGGTTTTTAGAAATGAGTGGTGTGATCTTTTGATGATGAGGCTGTTATGAGCTAAATGATGGCTTGACTGGACCATGCTTTGACACAGGAAACCACACCAGATGCTCCCCAAGCTTCCCTGTTAGAGTAAGGGTCATTCCACCTCGGCGAGTGCAGAATCTTCTCCTAAGTTGTCCTCTACGGTTCGACTAGAGGACCTCTCTGTGCCCAGCAGCCCCAGGAGGTCAGGGCCGGGAATGGGAAGGTAGTGGGAGGCTGTGAGAGGGGTAGAGGCTCTCATCGGCAGGGCAGTGGTGTGCGCCCAGCCCAGCCCAGTCCCACCAGTCAGGACCAGTAGGGAGACTCTTCTTCTCTTGCCCCCATCCTTGGGGCGGGCCTTGGAGTTTATAGAACCTGAGAACAGAGCTGAGTCCTTAACCCAGCCTTGGGGAGCGAGGAGAGGAGATGGAGCCTTGGTCCCAGCCCTTCTCTTCTCTCTGCCCCGCCCAATGCAGGAGCCACCCCTTCCCCCAGCCAGCTTCCCTGACATAGTAAGACTGATCGGTACAACAGTATTTCAATATTTAACAACCAGTGAGGCAGCACCGGCACATCAGGTTGGAGTGAAGGGGTCACGGCCAGGGACTGGAGGGGCTGATTTCCTGGTTGTGGAATCTGCAAGGATGATAACGGGAGCAGCATTGGAGGCAAAGGCAGTGAGCCAGCGCTCAGCTCCCCAAAGACTGAATGGCGGCGGCCATGAGGGAGTCGGACAGGTAGGCTGGGATGTGTTTCACAGAGGCAGGGAGTTTAGGGAGGAGGCAGGGAAATGGACCGGAAATGTCGATGAGGCCCAGGGAGGCCTGGGATGTGAGCAGTAAAACACTCTCGACAGTGAGAGTTTGCAGGGGCGGTGGTGTCCTTCGGGGAAAGCCAGATTTCCATTAGAGCAAGGACAGAATGGGGGGATTCTGCTGGCACTGTGACCTAAATTCTAGAAGGTGCCATGGCAAGGATTTAGGAGGGCGGGGGAGTTAGAGATCCAGCCAGATCAGAGGACACACAGCCCTGAGGGACAAGTGATGAGTAGGGAGGAGTGATGGGGTAAACTGGGATACAGGTCACTGTGCGATTGGTCCCAACGCCTCTGGTGGCCATGAGGCTGTGAGGGTCAGCTGGAGGAGCACAGGGTCTCCAGGAGCACTTGGAGCTCGGTGGGCCCTGGATTCAGTCTGATTAATGGTGGTGCTGGGGAGAGGTATAGGAGGGGAGGGGGCACTAGCAGCACTCAAGCATTAGTGGTGAAATTTGAACTTCATAGGACATCTACGTCAACAGACATCACTCCAGTAAGGGGAGAGTGGTGAGTGGTGATGAAATGAATGAGATTTCATTTCCCTAAGGCCAGCCTAGGGTTCCATTGTATTTCCTTCTGGTTGGTGGTAATCCACCCCAGGGGTTGTGATGGCTTCAGGCACAGATGGATCCAGGTGCTCCAAAATCTGGAACCTCTCTCCATCTCTGACTTTCCTCCCAACTAGCTTCATTCCTAGGCACCCTCTGTCCCTGTGGTAGAGACTAAGGGCCAAGTGCCTGGCACTGGGATGGTAGAGGAAAATCTAATCTCATCTCTGCCTTCCAGGCTCACATTCTAGGGGCAAAGACAGATAGTACAGAACTTACTAGAGTGCAATCCTTCACATACTATATTAGAAGGAGGTATGAGGCCTTATGGCAGCACAATTGTTCAGCTATCATTTATGTAGCACCAATTGTATGCCACGCTCCATGCAACCTGCTGAGAACAGAGGGGGAAAAATATACTTTCTGTCCTCAAGGAACTTGCAGTCTATGATGGCAGACAGAAAACACACGCTGTGGTGTAGAGGATGTGTGTGATGACAGAGGAGAGTGGAGCGTGTCTGGGGCACACAGATGGAAGGTGTGTCCAGGCGAGGGAGTGTGTGGGTGACAAAGGCCTCCTGAGGAGGAGCAGGTGCCTGAGCTGACACAAAGTGGAGAAGTCAGCCTGATGAAGCAGGGAGGGGTCCGTGTATGCCCGCGTGTGTGTCTGTGTGTGTGTCTGTGTGTGTGTGCATGTGTGTGTGTCTGTGTGTGCATGGGTGTGTGTGCGTATGTGTGTGCGTGCATGGGTGTGTGTGTCTGTGTGTGTGTCTTGTGTGCATGGATGTGTGTCTGTGTGTGTACATCGGTGTGTGTGTGTGCATGTGTGTGTGTGTGCATGGGTGTTTGTGTGTCTGTGCCTGTGTGTACATGGGTGTGTGTGTGCATGTGTGTGTCTGTGTGTGCATGTGTGTTTGTGTGTGTCTGTGTCTGTATGTGGGTAGTTTTGAATGCCTACTGTGTGCTCACTGGGCAGGGTGAGATGAAGTCTGCATATGTGTGTGTGTGCATGTATGTGTCTGTGTGTGCATGTGTCTTTGTGTGTGTCTCTGTGTGTACATGGGTATGTGAGTCTGTGTGCATGGGTGTGTGTGTGTCTATGTGTGTGCATGTGTCTGTGTGTGTAGGCGTGATGAGGAAGTGGTGGAGGGTTGAGAAGGGCTTTCTAGCAAGAGCAGTCAGGATAGTGCGGGACATAGGAGGGAACACACTGTCCCTGGGGGTGGGAGAAGGTTTCCCAGAGCAGAGTTGGGAGTAACAGGACTTGAGAGAGGGCCCGAAGCCAGCAGTGTGCGGGCCGGCTCGCCCCTGCTCAAGGGAGCTCATCACCAGTGTCTTCCCAGCTCTCGTTAGCAGTTTGAAATCAGCCGTGGTAGGTGTATTCACACCATGGGAACCCACGGCAAATGCTACAAACCAAGTTCCCCACCTCCAGCCCAGGGAGCTGATTGTTAAACATGTACCAGCACACCACTGGATGAAGGGTGATCCTATGTGAGGAGTCAGCTGGTACAAAGACGTGACAAATTGGTGGGATTGGAGATTTGCAAAAGGACTGGTCCCATCAGAGGGCTGGGTGGGTGAGGGTGAGGGTGAGGGTGGGTGATGGCTGGAGTGGAGTGCAGGGGTCTCACTGCCCGCTGTCCCCTCAGGCATTGGCTTTGAGCTTCCAGAGGAAAGGGGATGCAGGGAAGACTCTCCCACCATGAACTATAAAGGGTTATTCAGCTAAGGGGCTCAACAACCATGACTCTCCATGGAACCTCCATCCCAGAAGAGTGGCAGTGCCCCACCAACCGCCAGGCTGAGTGAGTTCAGGCCCCGCTGAGGCGGAAAGGCCAAGGGCTGTGCCGTGGGCTGGCACAGCTCTGGCTCAAGGAGTTTACCATGTCAGGCTGGGAATTGCAGCTTGCAGGTATTAAGTAGTTTAAGAGGAGGTTTCATCAGCTTTGTAAAAAGCACATTAATATCTCACACCAACTGCTGTCTTGTTTCTTTAGATACAATAAGCTCCTCATAAACCTGGTCATTAGGGGCTGAACAGACTCTGTTTTATTTTCCACATATTCATGAGAAGCTGAAAGAGCAGCTCTGGAGCCAGGAGGGGACACGGTGGAGCGAGCTGAGGCGTGGGGAGGAGGCTGTCTGAGTAATTTTTTAAGTGAAGCAAAGGAAGGGTTTAGTGGGAGCTGCTTTCTCTGTGTTTTCAACCTTTGCTGCTCCTGGCTTTTTGCTTTCCTGGCAATACCTCCCTGACGGCAGGGATTCGGGAGGCCTCAGGGAGGGTGGGCCATGCCTGGCTTGTTTCTGGCTGGAACCCCAGCCCCCTGGGGCACAGCGCAGCCACCAGCTTGGGTTGGATGGTTTGCAACAACAGAACGTGTGGCATCCTATGAGTTTGATCGTTCTCTCGTTCGTTCATTCATTCTTTCAGTGGGTAGTTTCTTTCTTTTTTTGTTTTTTGGGAAGGAGGGAGGGGAGGAAGAGCTAGGGGTCAAGAAGGGAGAGGGCAGTCTCAGTGGGTAGTTTCGAATGCCTACTGTGTGCTAGGCACTGGGCAGGGTGAGATGAAGTAAGTGGTCTGTCCTGCCTGCCTGCCATGAATTTGCTCCTTCCATTGGCTCTGAGCTCCCACTTCACTGAAGTCCCCAGCACTCAGGAGCTGACCACAATGAACAATTGCTCATCCAACTTTCAGTTGCATCCTGTCCTGGCTCTTGTCTCCATAGCTACCTCTTCAGTTCTTTTTTTTGAGACAGGGTCTCTCTCTGTTGCCCAGGCTGGAGTGCAGGGGTGTGATCATGGCTCGCTGCAGCCTTGACCTTCTGGGCTCAAGAGATCCTCCCACCTCAGCCTCCCGGGTAGCTGTGACTACAGGCATGTGCCCAGCTAATTTTTGAATTTTTTTTGTAGAGATGGGGTCTCGCCATGTTGCCTAGGCTGTTCTTGAACTCCTGGGCTCAAGCGATCCGCCCTCCTCAGCCACTCAGAGTTCCTTCTTTAGTTGTTGTTGTTTTGAGATAGAGTCTCTCTCTGTTGCTCAGGCAGGAGTGCAATGGCACGATCTCAGCTCACTGCAACCTCCGCCTCCCAGGTTCAAGCAATTCTCCTGCCTCAGCCTCCCAAGTAGCTGGGATTACAGGCATCAGCCATCACTCCTGGCGAATTTTTTGTATTTTTAGTAGAGGTGGGGTTTCGCCATGTTGGCCAGGCTGGTCTTGAGCTCATGACCTCAGGTAATCCACCCACCTCGGCCTCCCAAAGTGCTGGGATTACAGGCATGACCCACTGTGCCAGGCCCCTTTAGTTCTTCACATGTGATTTGGGGGAGGAGATTGGGCTCCAGAGTTAGAAAGATTTGGCTTCTAAGCCTGGCTCTGTTACCTAGTAGCTGTGTGAATTTGAGCAAGTTATGTGACCTCTCTGTGCCTCAGTTTCCTTTGCTGTAAGAAGGCAATATCAGTCCTCACCGAGGGGGTAAGGGGATTAACTTTGAAGACTCGATGAAATAACAGAAGTGAAGGGCCCCAGTGCAGTTCTTAACCCAGAACAGATACTCAACAATGTAGGTCCTCCTTCTTTTTCTTCTCTTTCAAATGGCACCTCTTTCAGGAGGCCTTTCTTGATTGCCCTTAGCTGGGAAGACTCTTTCCTCTCCTACGCTCCTATGCAGTGCTTTTCAGCATTTTAATGGGCATGGGAAGCCCCTGGGGATCACGTTAAGCCAGGTTCAGATTCGGTGACTCTCAGTGGCCTGAGACTCTGTATTTCTCATGAGCTTGCAGGAAGTGCCCACGCTGCCAGGCCCCAGTGGCGGGGGCCACACTTTGGGTTGGGTAGCGAGGCTGTCAAGCACCTTTTAGCTGCTTTGGTCATATTCTCTTTGTGTATTGTTGTTTGGGAACAAAGAGCTGCAAGTCTGTAAGCTCCTCAAGGGCAGAATTTCTTCTAGAGGATTCCCTGAATATACCATATTTTCCTTGATTCTAAGACGCTCACATGCAAATTTCAATGTTTCTGAAATTGAGATGTGTCTTATAATTCACGGGTTCACTTCACTGCAGTGTGTCTCTTTTCTCCTGAAACATCATTATCACATTGATGGTGAGCCTTTTAATTAATGGTAATGGCTGCCTGAAAAAAGTTTATTGAACAAATAAATAAATGAATGAGTTAGTGTGTGTGGGTGTCCAGCGACTGTACTACACATTTCCATTCACCTAAACAGTTGAGCATCATGCCAAATATTAGAATCCCTGGGGCACCAAGATCTTTTGCACTTCTCTTATGAAAAACCTACTTGACTATACCTGGCCAGGCATGGTGGTTCATGCCTATAATCCCAGCACGTTGGGAGGCCGAGGTGGGCAGATCACCTGAGGTCAGGAGTTCAAGACCAGCCTGGCCAACATGGTGAAACCCTGTCTCTACTAAAAATACAAAAATTAGCCGGGCTTGGTGGCGGGGGCCTGTAATCCCAGCTACTCGGGAGGCTGAGGCCTGAGAATCACTTGAACCCAGGAGGCAGAGGTTGCAGTGAGCCGAGATTGTGCCATTGTACTCCAGCCTTGGTGACAAGAGCAAGAATCCGTCTAAAAACAAAACAAAACAACTCCCCAAAAACAAAAATACAAACAAACGAACAAACAAAAGACACCTATTTGACTATATCTGGCCGAGCACGGTGGCTCACGCCTGTAATCCCAGCACTTTGGGAGGCCAAGGTGGGCAGGTCACTTGAGATCAGGAGTTCTAGACCAGCCTGGCCAACATGGTGAAACCCTGTCTGTACCCAAAATACAAAAATTAGCCAAGTGTGGTGGCACGCGCCTGTAGTCCCAGCTACTCGGGAGGCTGAGGTGGGAGATTGCTTGAACCTGGGAGGCGGAGGTTGCAGTGAGCCAAGATCATGTCACTGCACTCCAGCCTGGGTGACAGAGTGAGACCCTGCCCCCAATCCAAATCTATTTGAATATATCAAAACATACGTATAGCCTGCAACTCAGCAATTCTGCTTAGAAATGTGTGTTGAAGAAACACTTGCATACATGCACACGATGTATGAGAATGTTCATAACAGCACTGCTTATAACAACAACAAACTTGGAATAGCCCAGATTTCTATTATCGGAGAAATGATAGCATAGTATATTGATGTAATGTAGTGTACAGCAGTGAAAGTTAGTGAATTACAGCTACACAAGTCAACCCAGATGAATTCCACAAACATAACACTGGACAGAAAAAAATCAAGCTGCAGAAAAATGCATATGGTATGATTCCATTTTCATTAAGTTAAAAACATGTTATAGATTATTTAGAAATACATGTGTATGTGGCAAAACTGTAAAGTCAAGCAAGGGAATGATAAACATCAAGTTTAAGAGTGTTTGCAGCTGGGCGTGGTGGCTCACACCTGTAATCCCTGCACTTTGGGAGGTGGAGGTGGGAGGATCGCATGAGCCCAGGAGTTCCAACCCAGCCTGGGCAACATGGCGAAATCCTGTCTCTACAAAAAAATAAAAAATTAGCCAAGCATGGTGGTGCACACCTGTAGTCCCAGCTACTCGGGATGCTGAGGCAGGAGGACTGCTAGAGCCTGGGAGGTTGAGGCTGCAGTGAGCCATGATCATGCTACTGCACTCCAGTTTGTGTGACAGAGGAAGACCCTGTCTCAAAGAAAAAAAAAAGAATGTTTTCTTGAGATAGGGTAGGGCACACAACTGCTTCAATGTCCTAGGAATGCTCTATTTTTTAACTTCGTAATGAGTGCATAGGCACTCTTCATTTTATTGTTATTCTTTATTCCCTGCTGTGACAGAGGCTGTTTCCAAATATGTCTTGTTCTTTTCAAGTTTTGCCTGGACATATGGCTTCCCAGAACGTAGGCTTTAGTTCCCAGCCTCGCTTGCAGCTGGAGGTGGTCATGTGACAAAGTTCTGGCCAATGGGATGTGAGTGGAAATGATGGGAACAACTTGGGAGGAATGGCCTTTAGGGCATGGGATGTGCCCTTCTCAGTCCTTTCCTCTTGGCAAGTGGACTAAGGAGCTCCAGCCGCCATCTTGGTCAATGAGACAATCTTGAGAATGGAGAGCTGCATGATGGTAGAATAAGATAAAGGGTATCTGAGCCACACTCCCATGGAGTGTTATACCAGTCTTGGATAACTTATCTCCAGAGCTGTGCAACGAGAAAGAAATAAACTATCAACTATCTTTATTTTCTTACTTTTAATTTTTTTAGAGACAGGTTCTTGCTTTGTCACCCAGATTGGAGTGCAGTGGCATGATCATAGCTCACTGTGACCTCGAACTCTTGGGCTTAAATGATCCTCCTGCCTCAGTCTCCTGAGTAGCTGGGACTACAGGTGCATGCCACCACACCCGTCCTGTCTTTTTAATTTTAGGTAAATAAACCAAAAAAACAAAAAAAAAAATGCGGGAAACTTTATAGCCAAGCCTAATCCTAATGAACATAACCTGTACAAGTTAAAATAGTCTTTAAAAAAGCTTGATTTTTAAATTTGTTTTTTTTTTTTTGATACGGAGTCTTGCTCTGTTGCCAAGGCTGGAGTGCAGTGGTGTGATCTTGGCTCACTGCAAACTCTGCCTCCCGAGTTCAAGCGATTCTTGTGCCTCAGCCTCCTGAGTAGTTGGAATTACAGACACGCACCACCAAGCTTGGCTAACTTTTGTATTTTTGGTAGAGATGGAGTTTTACTATGTTGGCCAGGCTGGTCTGGAACTCCCAACCTCAGGTGATCTGCCCGCCCTGGCCTCCCTAAGTGCTGAGATTATAGGCATGAACCACCGCTCCCGGCCTAAAATTTTTTTTAAGTGCATTTTATTGTGTATACTTTAAGGTATCCAACATGATGTTGTATGATTACATATATACAGCAAAATGGTTGCTATAGTGGAAAAACTAACACATCCATCATCTCACATAGTACCCAGTTTTTCCCTGTGTGCCAGGAGCAGCTATAATCTCATTTAGCAAAAATCCTGAATACAATACAATATTATTAACAATAGTCCCCATGTTGTACATTAGAGCTCTGGACTTGTTCACCCTGTATATTTGCTACTTTGAATCCTTTGACCTATATCTCTCCATTTCTTCCCTCTCACCCCAGATCTTGGTAACCACTGTTTTATTCTCTATCTCTACATACTTGATATTTGACTTTTTTTTTTGGTAAAGATTCCACATATGAGTGGAGTCATAAAATAGTTTTCTTCCTGTGTCTGGCTTATTTCACTTAGCGTATTGTCCTCCAGTTTCATGCATGTTGTGGCAAATGACAGATCTCTCCCTTTTTAAAGGCTGAATCAGAAATAATATTCCATTGTATGTAAACACCACAGTTTCTTTATTCATTCATCCATTGATGGACATCTAGATTGTTTCCATATTTTGGCTATTGTGAGTATTGCTGCAATGAACATGGGAGTGTAGATACCTTTTTTATTTTTTATTTTTTTTTGGGACAGGGTCTCCCTTTGTTGCCTAGGCTGGAGTGCAATGGCACACTCTTGGCTCACTGCAACCTTCGCCTCCTGGGTTCAAGCGATTCTCATGCTTCAGGCTCCCAAATTACAGGCGCCTGCCACTACGCCTGGCTAATTTTTGTATTTTTAGTAGAGAGAGGGTTTCGCCATGTGGGCCAGGCTGGTCTCGAACTCCTGACCTTGTGATCCATGCGCCTCGGCCTCCTGAAGGGCTGAGATTACAAGCGTGAGCCACTGCGCCTGGGGAGTGTAGGTATCATTACAAGGTGGTGATTTCATTTCCTTTGGGTATATACCAGAAGACATATTGCTGGGTCATATGGGAGTTCTATTTTTATTTTTTTTTGAGGAAACTCCATACTATTTTCCATAATGGTGGCATCAACCTACATTCCCACCTAACAGTGTGCGAGGATTCCCTTTTCTCCACACCCTCGCCGACACTCGTTATCTCATGTCTTTTGATAATAGCTCTCCTAACGGGTGAGAAGTGGTATCTCACAGTCATTTTGATTGGCACTTCCCTGAAGATTAGTGACGTTGGACACTTTTCCATTTACCTATTGGCCATTTTAATGTCATCTTTGGAGAAATGCCTATTAAAGTCCTCTGCTCATTTTTAAATTGTGTTATACATTTTCTTGCTATTGAGTTGTATGTGTTCTTTATAAATCTTGGATATTGAGACTTTAGTTTAAACAAGAATATATGTTTAAAAACTCAGATATTAACCCTTATCTAATATATGGTTTGCAAATGTGTTTCCCAATCTGTACATTGCCCTTTCATTTTGTTGTTTGTTAAAATAGTCTTTTATATGTATTTATTATTAAACACATTCTAAAAATATATATATATATATTTTTTGAGACAGAATCTTGCTCTGTCACCCAGGCTGGAGTGCAGTGGTGCGATCTCGGCTCTCTGCAACCTTTGCCTCCTAGGTTCAAGCGATTCTCTTGCCTCAGCTAGCCGAGTAGCTGGGATTACAGGCACCCGCCACCACGCCCAGCTAATTTTTGTATTTTTAGTAGAGACGGGGTTTCGCCATGTTGGCCAGGCTGGTCTTGAACTCCTGACCTCAGGTGATCCGCCTGCCTCAGCCTTCCAAAGTGTTGGGATTACAGGCGTGAGCCACTGCGCCCGGACTACTTCTTCATTATTATTACATCTGTTATGGCGATCTGTGATCAGTGATCTTGGATGTTACCATTGTAATTGTTTTGGAGTGCCAAGAACTGCACTATATAAGATGACGAACTTAATTGATAAATGCTATGTATGTTCTGACTGTTCCACCAGTTGGCCATGTCCCTGTTTCTCCCCCTCTCCTTGGACCCCCCTATTCTCTAAGACATGACAATACTGAAATTAGGGCAATTAATAACCCTACAATGGCCTCTAAGAGTTCAAGTGAAAGGAAGAGTTGAACATATCTCACTTTAAATCAAAAGCTAGAAACAATTAAGCTTAGTGAGGAAGGCATGTCATAAGCCCAGACAAGCTGAAAGCTAGGCCTCTTAAGTCAAACAGTTAGCCAAGATATGAATGCAAAGGGAAAGTTATTAAGGGAAGTTAAAAGTGCTACTCTCTATGAATGATAAGAAAGTGAAATATATTTGCTGATATGGAGAAACTTTGAGCAGTCTGGATAGATCAAACCAGACACAACATTCCCTTAAGCCAAAGCCTAATCCAGAGTAAGGCCCTAACTCTCTTCAATTGTATGAAGGCTAAGAGAGGTGAGGAAGCTGCAGAAGAAAAGCTGGAAGCTAGCAGAGGTTGGTTCATGAGGTTTAAGAAAGAAGCTGTCTCCATAACAGAAAAGTGCAAGGTGAAGGGGCAAGTGCTGATGGAGAAGCTGCAACAAATCATCCAGAAGATCTGGTTAAGATCATTGATGAAGGTGGCCACACTAAACAACAAATTTTCAAGGTAGATGCAACAGCTTTCTATTGGAAGAAGATGCCATCTAGGATTTTCATAGCAAGAGAGGTCAATGGTTGGCTTCAAAGCTTCAAAAGACAGGCTAACTCTCTTGATAGGGGCTAATGCAACTGGTGACTTTAAGTTGAGGCCAAGGTTCATTTACCATTCTAAAAATTTTAGAGCCCTTAAGAAGTATGCTAAATCTACTCTACCTGTGCTCTATAAATGAGACAAAAAAGCCTACATGCAGCATATCTATTTATGGGATGGTTTACTGAATATTTTAAGCCCGCTATTAAGATCTACTGCTCAGAAAGATTTCCAAATATTACTGCTCATTTACCATGCACCTGGTTCTCAAGAGCTCTGATGGAGATGTATAAGGAGATGAATGTTGTTTTCATGCCTGCTAACACAACATCTATTTTGCAGCCCATGGATCAAGAAGTAATTTTGACTTGGAAGTCTTATTATTTAAGAAATACATTTCATAAGGCTATAGCTGCCAGAGACAGTGATTCCTCTGATGGATCTGGGCAAAGTAAATAAAAAAATCTTCTAGAAAGGACTCAACATTCTAGATGCCAATAAGAACATTTGTGATTCATGGGAGGAGGTCAAAGTATCAACATTAACAGGAATTTGGAAGAATTGGTTCCAACCCTTATAGATGACTTTCAGGGGTTCAAGATTTCAGAAGAGGAAGTAATTCAGATGTTCTGGAAATAGGAAAACAGCTAGAATTAGAAGTGAAGCCTGAAGATGTGAGTGAATTGCTGCAATCTCATGATAAAACTTGAGTGGATGAGAGGTGGCTTTTTATGGATAAGCAAAGAAAGTGGTTTCCTGAGATGGAATCTGTTCCTGTTGAAGATGCTGTGAACATCACTGAAATGATGATAAAGTATTTAGAAGATGATATAAAGTTAGTTGATAAAGCAGCAGCAGGGTTTGAGAAGATTGATTGCAACTTTGAAAGAAGTTCAACTGTGGATAAAAATATATCAAACAATATCACTTGCTATACAGAAATCTTTTGCGAAAGGAAGAATCAATTGATGTGGCAAACTACATTGTTGTCTTAGTTTAAGAAATTGGCACAACCACCCCAACCTTCAGCAACCACCACCCTGGTCAATCAGCAGCTATCAACATCGAGGCAAGACCCTCCATCAGCAAAAAGATGATGGCACACTGAAGGCTCAGATGGTCAGTAGCATTTTTAGCAATAAAATATGTTAAAATTATGTATGTACATTGTTTTCTCAGACATAATGCTATTGCACACTTAATAGACTACAGTATAGTGTAAACATAACATATATTTTTTGAGACAGAATCTCACTCGGTCACCCAGGTTGGAGTGAAATGGCACAATTATAGCTCACTGCAGCCTTGACCTCCTGGACTTAAGCAATCCTCCCACCTCAGTCTCCTGAGCAGCTGGGACCACAGATATGTGTCACCACGACTGGCTGATTTTTTATTTGTAGAGATGGGGGTCTCACTATGTTGTCCAGACTGGTCTCAAACTCCTGGGCTTAAGCAATCCTCCTGCCTCAGCCTCTCAAAATGTTGGGATTACAGGTGTAAGCCACTGCCCTTGGCCCAACATAACTTTTTTTTTGAGACAGATTCTCACTTTTTTGCCTAGGCTGGAGTGCAGTGGCATGATCTCAGCTCACTGCAACCTCTGTCTCCTGGGTTCAAGCAATTCTCCTGCCTCAGCCTCCTGAGTAGCTGGGACTATAGGTGCCCACCACCATGCCCGGCTACTTTTTGTGTTTTTAGTAGAGATGGGGTTTCACCATGTTGGCCAGGCTGGTCACGAACCCTTGGCCTCAAGTGATTCACCCACCTTGGCCTCCCAAAGTGCTGGGATTAAAGGCATGAGCCACCATGCCCGGCCCCAACATAACTTTTATATGCACTAGGAAACCAAAAAATTTGTGTGACTCACTATGTTATGATATCTGGTGTATTGTGGTGATCCAGAACCGAATCCTCAGTATCTCCCAAGTCTGCCTGTATGAGAGAGGCAGTGATGCTCAGTGGTTAGCTTCACAGGGTCTGGAGGCTGGCTACCTGGGTCCACATTCTAGTTATGCCACTGAACCTGAGCGTTGGCTCCTCCACTGTAAAATGAGGAGTCAGTTAAACTTCTGTCATAGAGTTGTGAGAATTGCATAAAACACTGCATTGAGAGGGCTCAGCACAGTGGCTGTCACCTAGCTCGCTAAGAGGTAGGTGTGATTATGTTTTGCTGGGCCCCACGGTCGGGGCACAGATAGATCACACAGTCTCTACTTTGAAGAAGCTCACAGACTAGTAGGGGAGAGACCGGTGATTACACTCTGCTGTGCCAAGAGAGCCTGCCCAAGGAGCTATGGGAACCGCATGCACTTAGATCCTATGAAACAGGATGGTTCAAATGACTCTGTCAACCCCAGAGTCCCTGGAGTAGGCGGATAATGAATAAACACTGTCATGTGTCAACAGCCCTAAATTCATCTTAAGAAGCCCTGTGGTGTGGTGGCTGTGCCTCTCGCAGGAGAGCGTGGGTCTGAGTTCTCTTTCTGCCGTGTATTAACCATGTGCTCTCGGACAAGGTGTTCATCTTTCAGTTCAGTACTTCAGCTCGTCCTTGAATTTTTATCAAGTGGTTACTAGGTGTTGGTGTTGAGCTAGGTTCCACAGCAGAGAAGGGATCAATACAGACGGATTCCCCGTCCCCCAGAGCTGAGTCTTGAGAGGACCCTAGACAAATAATTAATGCAGACGACCCAGAATGAAACCACAAGGGCAGCGAGGGCGTTGGCTGGTCGCCGGGAACAAGCTGCCATGAGCCAGGCATGGGGCCAAGCACTTTACAACAAGCCTGTTGAGGTGGACGCTATTAGTCTCCGTACATTAGAGATATGGAAGTGGAGGGACAGAGGGGTGAAGGAACGCCTCTAAAGATTCATTGCTCGTGTAAGTGAAAGAGCTGGGCTCTGACCCCGGGCAGGAGGTTCTAGGTGACTGCTGGGCTGCACTGTTACAGCACAGTACAGGATGCTGGGTAGTAGGGACAGTGCATGGCATAATCTGGGTACTGGCAGGTTGTCAGGAAGGCTTCCTGGAAGAAGCACCATCTCGGATGAGCCGTGAAGGATAAGTAAAAATTGGCAGATGAAAGGGAGGGCAGGGAGGTGTTTGAGAGAAGAGCAAGTGAGGGCCAACCAGAGAGAGGACAGGATGCTGAAGCCAGAAGTGTCATTTAGAGGACGGAAACCAGACGGTTGGGCTGTGCGTGTGTGTGTGTGTGTGTGTGTATGTGTTTGTATGTATGTGTGTGTGTATGTCTGTGTGATGTGTGTGTCTGTGGGTCTCTGTGTGTGTGTATGTATGTGTACGTGTGTATGTCTGTGTGTGAGTCTGTGTGTGTGTCTGTGGTGTGTGTATGCATGTGTGTGTATATGTGTGTATGTGTTTATATGGGTGTGTGTAGGTATTATGTGTATGTCTGTGTGTGGTGTGTTTGTATGTGTGTGGTGTGTGTGTATGTCTGTGAGTGTATATGTGTGAACTTACGAGCAATGGGGAGCCACTGAGGGGTTTTAAGTAGGAGGTTAATGTGACCAGATCTGTTTGCCCTGGTGGCTGAGTGGGGAAAGGACTGGAGGGGCAAGACCAGAAGCCATGGGCCCAGATTCCTCCATCGGGTGAAAAATGCTTGTGGCCTTTCCTACTTGGCAAAATATACCTTAATTTTCTAACCACAGATTTCCCCAAACCTGTCTTGGCCCTTTTCTTTTTTTGAGCCAGGGACTTGCTCTGTCACCCCAGCCAGAGTACAGTGGCACAATCACGGCTCACTGCAGCCTTGCACTCCCCAGGCTCAGGTGACAGGTGATCCTCCCATCTCAGCCTCCTGAGTAGCTGGGACTACAGACACGCGCAATCATGCTCAGCTAATTTTTGTATTTTTTGTAGAGACAGGGTTTCATCACGTTTCCCAGGCTGGGCTCAAGTGATTCTTTCACCTCTCAGCCTCCCGAAGTGCTGGGATTACAGATGTGAGCCACTGCACCTGGTCCCCTTGGTCCATTTTAATCACATATGTATATTCAGTTTTGTGGCATAGAGTCAAGCCAGAGTGCTCAAACACCACCTACACCATTAACCCATGAGAGCGGAAATAGCTCGTGCAACGAGGACCCACAGGCCTGAGGATGCCCATGTAGCCACATTCCCATTTCCAGGCCAAAGACACACCCCTGCTCAGAAATCTCAAAGATTTCCATTGCCTCCATTGCCTGTCACATAGAACCAGGATTCCCAGCTAGATCCAATCAGATCCAAAACTCTCATCTTCTCAGCTCTGACTCTGCCATCATGCTCTCCCAGCCGAATTAAGCTCTCCTCTCTTCTCCACCTAAAACAACACCCATTTCACTCTGGACAGCAGAGCTAGAAGCCACAGGTGGTAATGTACAGGTAGACCCGAGACTAGGGTGAGACATCTAGGGTGCAAAATTTAAGGAGTCCCGTAAGCATCTCCAACTTTGCACCTTGCTTGCTTTACCCTAGTTGGGCCCTGTGTAGGGAAGGAGAGGTCAGGTTGATATCCGGGTAAGTGTTGTGTTTTCAGAGCTGCCTCCCAAGGTAGTGAGCTACCTGTCACTGGAGGGGTACCAACAGAGGGGGTTCAGCTGCCTCTTAGGGATGCTGAAGAGAGAATTTCTACAGTAGCTGGGATTCTGAGGTTCCTTCTATCCCTTGGAAGCAGGGATTCTAAGAAGCCTTCCCTGATCCTCACAGCCCGAGCTGCCTCTCCCTCCTTTCATCACTGCCTTTACCTCTAAGATCACTCAGCTGGCAATTTACCACAGGCTACCCCATGACATCTCTTGTATTGCTGTCTTGTCTTATTTCAGATTTCACAAGCTTGTGTGTCATTTTCCTAACGGAATTGCATCGAGGACAGGGATTGAACTGAATACTTTCTGTTCTCTCTCTCTCAGTAGATATGGGAGACTTTAAAAATCCTCTCTGTCCCAATGCTTCATATATCATCTGATGTACTCATCACATCAACCCCTTGGGTAGGTTCTATTAATGAGCCTGTTCTACAGGTGAGAAACTGGAGGTTCATAGAGGTGATAAATGTTAGCCATTATTTTTAATAGGGACTCAGGACTGATGCTATCAGACTACCTGGGTGTGTATTTGCCTTGGGCAAATTCCTCAACATCTTTTTTTTTTTTTCAAATGAACCTGATGTTATGAACATATATTTAACCTCTTTGAGCCTCAGTTTCCTTACTGTAAACTGGAATAATATCATTACCTATTTCACAGTTTCTTGTGAGGGTTAACTAAGTTAATCTACATGTGAGCTCTTTGAACAGTACATGCAGTGAGCTCTCAGTACCTGCTAGCTATTGTTAATTATTATTGTTGTTGTTATCACAGGAAGGCCTGGCATTATCAAATCTAGAAAAAGAATGAATAAAATGTGACTCTCAGTGTTTCCAGGTGACCTCTCACCTGCAGAGCCTCTGGTTTTTCTCAGCACTGTCCCTCACCCCAGGAGAGAGGATTCTGCCTCAGAAGCCGTTCATGTATATGGATATGTGAGTCTCTTGTGAGTCTAATCGGCAGGAATCAGCCCCCTAGAGTGTGATCGGGCAGGAATCAGCTCCTTAGAGCGTGATCAGGCAGGAATCAGCAGCCCCAGAGCGTGATCGGGCAGGAATCAGCACCCCCAGAGCGTGATTGAGCAGGAATCAGCCCCCCAGAGTGTGATCGGGCAGGAATCAGCACCCCCAGAGTGTGATCGGGCAGGAATCTGCCCCGCAGAGCATGATTGAGCAGGAATCAGCCCCCTAGAGTGTGATCGGGCAGGAATCAGCCCCCCAGAGCGTGATCGGGCAGGAATCAGCCCCCCAGAGCGTGATCGGGAGGAATCAGCCCCCCAGAGCGTGATCCGGCAGGAATCAACCCCCTAGAGTGTGATCGGGCAGGAATCAGCCCGTAGAGCGTGATCAGGAGGAATCAACCCCCTAGAGTGTGATCGGGCAGGAATCAGCCCCCCAGAGCGTGATTGGGCAGGAATCAGCCCCCCAGAGCGTGATCGGGCAGGAATCAGCCCCCCAGAGCGTGATCGGGAGGAATCAGCCCCCCAGAGCGTGATTGGGCAGGAATCAGCCCCCCAGAGCGTGATCGGGCAGGAATCAACCCCCCAGAGCGTGATCGGGCAGGAATCAGCCCCCCAGAGCATGATTGGGAGGAATCAGCCAACAGAGCATGATCAGGCAGGAATCAACCCCCCAGAATGTGATCAGGCAGGAATCAGTCCCCCAGAGCATGATCAGGACGAATCAGTTCCCCAGAGTTTGATCGAGCAGGAATCAGCCCCGCAAACCATGACAGGGAGGAATCAGCCCCCAGAGCATGATCAGGCAGGAAATCAACCCCCCAGAATATGATCAGGCAGGAATCAGCCCCCCAGAGCGTGACCGGGCAGGAATCAGTCTCCCAGAGCGTGATCAGGCAGGGATCAGTCCCCTCAGAGAGCCTCCCGGAGCACGGTCAGGCAGGAATCAGCACCCCAGAGTGTGATTGGGAGGAATAAGTCCCCCAGTGTGTGATCAGGGAGGAAATCAGTTTCCCAGAGTGTGATCCGGCAGGAATCAGTATCCCAGAATGTCATCAGGCAGGAATCAGTCCCCCAGAGAGTGACTGGGAGGAATCAGCCCCTTAGAGCGTGATTGGGCAGGAATCAGCTCCCCAGAGCGTGATTGGGAGGAATCAGCCCCTTAGAGCGTGATTGGGCAGGAATCAGCCGCTTAGAGCGTGATTGGGCAGGAATCAGCTCCCCAGAGCGTGATTGGGAGGAGTCAGCCCCGTAGAGCGTGATTGGGAGGAATCAGCTCCCCAGAGCGTGATTGGGAGGAATCAGTCCCCCAGACCGTGATGGTCCCTGGGACAAGTGTAAAGAGTGGTATTGAGACTACAAAGCTGAGGGCAAGAGTTAGTCTTTAATGAGTGATTGACTAATTGAATAAAAACACTTTGGAAGCCTTCTCTGTGCCAGGGAGGCAGATCAGGATGAGAAGGCCAGAATCTTTGCTCTGAAATCTTCACAGATGAGGGGCAGGGGAGGACAGAGGAGTGACCCCCAAAGCCAGCCTGTCCACAGAGAAGCAGATGAGAAAGCGGGGCCACCTCCTACCACAATCCCCAGGAGGAATGGGGCTTCCATGGGACAAGGAAAGTTACTGAGAGAAGTTGCAGCTGATCCAGACAGCTCAGCGAAGACCAAGGTCAGGGAGGCTGAGTTGGTTGCACCAGTTGTTGCATATGTGTGGGAGAGGTAGGGGTTCTTGGGGAGACCGCCAAGGCCTCTGCCACCCTCGCTTAGGAAGAGTGGGCACGGGGAAGACCCCCAAGGCTACTCCCCACCTCCCTACTCCCCGTGGCTCTGGTCAGCAGTGGCTGCTTTAGTTGCCATTGGGAAGGCAAACACTGTTTGCATTCCTGTCATTTAAAACAATGTGGTGTTGTGACACTCTGGAATCTGAAGATAAATGTTTAATAAAAGGATTCAATTTGATATGATGTCGGAACTTAATTAGATCCACAATGCACAGAGGGCTTGGCAAGCCCTTCAATTAGGAGCTACTTAAGGGTGTTGTGTGTGGGGATCTGCAGCGCTGTCAAGGGACTGCGGGGGCTGGGATGGTGCCTCCCAGCCTTGAGAGCTGCCCTCTATAGATTCGGGCTCAAGGGCACTGCTTTTTGGCATTTCTGGTAGAGGTGATGGAGGGTCCCGGCCCATTCTGTGCTTGGAACTCTGCATATGCTAGGATTGTGGCTGCAGCATGTGACCACAGAATGATGCAAATGAACCTGACCTATTTGAGACTCAGGGCTATGACCCCAGGTCAGGTGCAGACTCTTCAGAGGCAAATGTTGGACAGGGGAACTGCCTTTAAGCCCACTTGGCCCAGAGTCCAAGGGCAATGAAGCTCAAGGCTGCCAGGAACTGGTAAACAGCTGTGTTTGTGATCCTGGCCAGGACTGACATCAGGCAGGCAGGTACTGATATAGCTACATCAATAGTCAAATATGAGTTGATAAAATGCCTGCTGTCCAAGCACCCCGAAATGCCCCTTCTGCCCACTGCTTTGGTCCCTCCAGCCCCTCCACTGGGATCTCTTGAGCCTCCCCAGCAACTAAAGTGTGGGAGTCTGACCAGCCGCGGGTCTCCAGGCTGTTGTTCTAGCACTGTGGCCGGCGTCTGTTCTGTCTGGTCAGGACCGAGGCCTCAGCAGTTGTGAAATCTGCTGACCATCATCCCCAATTCCAGCCTGTAAAAATGATAGCCGTCTCGGGGACAAGGGAGTAGAGACCTGGGACCATGAGTTTCAGCATCAGACTCCACGAATTCAGGAGTGTCAGTGCTGCTGGCTATGAGTTGTGTGGATACCCTGAGCCTCCTCTGTAAACCGGGTTAATAACACCAATGTCAAAACATGGTTGTGAAGATTAAAGAGCATAAATAATGTGGGTGGTTCCAGGGCTTAATGGTAAGCACTTTAGCTGCAGACTCCAGCAATCCAAGTTCAAGTATCAGTAGGACATTTTATTAGATATAGAATGTAATGCATAAGAGTATAATATCTGGAAGAACCAGCCTGTGTGGGTTCAAATCTCAGGGCTGCCACTTACTAGCCATGACCTCGGGTAAGACATGTCACCTCTTAGTGCCTTACATTCTTTATTGGAGAATACAATGATAAGTATCTACTGGGGTATTGGAAGGATAGGCCAGCTAATATTTGTAATGGACTTAGAAGAGTACTTTATGCATAGTAGGGATTCATTAAATGTCAGCCATTACTATATTAGTATAACATAAGGTGCCTGGCACATAGTAGATGCTTAATAAATGGTATTGACTACAACCACATTGAGAATAATCTTCTACTCTGCCTGGAGTAAAAGACTCTAGCCTCCTAAGTCCCTGAGATCCTTACTAGTTTTCTTCATTGTTTTTACCAGCCAATATCTTCCGTACATTCATAGTTTATCGTCCCTGGAAATCTCATAACTTCTTGGAGGAGAGAGGCCACCTCCTGGTTATGCCTCTTCCCACAACCCTCTCACTTGGCCAGCATCCGCCTGGTTATTTGGCTGGTCATACGCTCCACCACGAGCACACAACACATGTCCAAAGAATGTGCTTCCCACGCTCCTCAATCCTCACTTTCCCAAACATACCCCCTCCACCACCTTCCAGCTTGCTACCACTTAGCAGATGCCTGATATGTTTTAGCTCAATGAATGAATGAGAGAACCCAGACCAAAGAAGTCTTTTGTCCTAAGCTTGGGAGAGGATGCTTTTTACCAGTGGTTTACCGGCTGCAGGTATTTCATCCATTAGACACATCCTTTCCCGCTAATGCTGTGATTTCCAAAGTTCATTCTGCTGATTCCAGCCCCAGGAGATGCTAAGAGGAGATACAAAATAAAGGGGTTCCACTGGCAAGTAAGTTTGGGAAATGCTGAACAAGGGGAGGTTAAATAGGTTTCCTTACCTCAGGGCTTTTCTGTGCCTTTACTATGCTAACTGCATTGTCAAACTCTAATGTGGGAATATAGTGCTCAATGTTTCCAAAAGTTCATTTCATTACAGGCTCTCTGTGTGTGTGTGTGTGTGTGTGTGTGTGTGTGTGCATGTGTGTCTTTCATCTCACGGGGCTACAATCTTTGGATCACTCTTTGGGGAACACTGCAGTAAATGAATCTTGGATTTCACACCTGTACTTTCATGCACAGCAGGGAGTAATGAAAAAGCAAAATGCAAAGGTTTCTAATACCTTTCTCCCTCAAGTGCTAGTGTGGGAGGCATTTCTATACATGTCCCTACAGTCAGCATCTACACATGCCCCTACAGCTTTTGCTATGCACCGTTGACATGATTTGAGTAATCTGACCACCTGGCTTCTTTCTTGATGTGCCGTCTTCCCTTGGCGTCTGGGTCCTCAAGGTTGCTTGGTTTTCTTCCTGTTCATTTTCAGACTCCTTTGCAAGGTCCTCTTCCTCTGATTATCTTGTACATTTGGTGTTTCTGGGGCTCTCTCTTTGGCTGTCTTCTCTTTTCATTCTACATATGTTCCTCAGAAATCTCATCTCTGGCTTCCGTTTTCACTTACATACTGATGACCCACAAGTCTTTATATACAACCCAGTCCTGTCTTCTTTCCCTTGAGTTCTTGGTGCGCTGGCTGTCCCCCCGTGAATATCCCACAGATATCTGAACCTCAACCTGAACTTAGTGTCCATTTCCCCCATCCTCTTATGCTGGCTCAATAATAAATCATGCCTTCCTCCAGCCCATTTCCCAAGCTGCAAACCTTGGAGTCATCCTTGATTTCTACCTCTTCATCTCCACTCCCAGCAAATCGCCAATTCTTTAACATGTCTTGAATCTGGACCCCTACCAACCGTTCCCTGCACTCTCAGAACACCCTCCAACCCCCAAGTGGCTCCCCTGCTTCCCTCTTCCCTACCACTGATTACTTCCACTCTGTAGTCACTGTGATTTACAAAAGGTGAAATCGGAGCTGCCTCTCCTCAGTGCCTCCCCATTCCTACAGGATGACGTCCAAACTCTTTGACAAGGTCAACAGGGTCCACCACAATTCGACAGCTGCTTTGATCTTCAGAAACTACATCCTGTTGTAAGTCCCAGGACCCACCACGCTCTCTCCTATCTCTGGACGTTTGCCACGTGCTTCCTGGCTGTCCTTCCCAACTCACTTCTCTATCACTTCTCCTCTCTGCCCACCCCTGGATACTCCCTATTGATGCCTTAGTGCTCAGTTTACACATCATTTCCTTGAGGAAGGCTTCCTTGAAGACTGTCCCTTCCCCCACATCACCCCAAATCCTGAGCCGGCAGCTCCTTCTGGTTCCCATGGCACCCCGCACTCTTTGGTATGGCGACATTCCTGGACTACATTGAAAGGCCTGTGGCCTGCTTCCTTGCCTGTCTCCTCCACTGGTGTGAAAGCCCCTTGAAGAGCTGCTGCATTCATCATTGTATCCTGAGGCAGAGGCAGAGGCAGCCTGTCCACCCTCTCATGTTTCCGATGCACCCAAGCACCATCCAGCCCCGGGTCAGCACATCCACAGAGAGCAGGCAGGGTGGTGGGAGCAGCAAGTGGTGAGGCCTGTGATGCCATAATCAATTTTGCTGGGCTTAGCGTAGTTACTGAAAAGCTTGTGGAGGGAAGAGAACACACCTATTGACTCAAAGGAGGTTTGGGGATTTTCTGTGGTTTGCAACGATCCATTTGCTCGTTACTAGCTGAGATCTGGAATTGGCAGTACTGACATAATGGCTTATGTCCGTGGACTTACTGCACATGGAGAAAGAAGCTTCGGAGTCTGGGGGAAGAATGCATTTCGCCTTTCCAAGCTTCCCTTGTCCTTGCCTCATCTCTTGAGCGGTGCCAGATGACAAGGGCCTCTGTCACTGTGATGCAGTTTACTTCCTATCTCCCTCTCTAGCAGAGGTCTGCTCTTGGAGAACGGACTATGTGTATTTTGTTCACAATGTACCTCCACTGCCCATCCAGGGCTTTGGCTTGCACCAGGTGCCCAGTAAATGTCTGGAGAATAAATGAATTGAATGAAGGTATTCGCAGCCATATGTCCACTACAGCCTATAAGGCTGCATCTGATTTGGTTGGGAGGGCAAGTGTGTGTACAAGGTTTGTAGTGATTGGCAGGAATCTCACAGATAAGACTAGTGAACAAACTGCACAAACTACTGCCCAGTGGTTGGATTTCCTGTATCTCATGGGTACCACACCTGCAGGGCCCTTCTTGGTTTAGTCTGTGATGACTGCTACGCTCAACTGCCGCTTTCCACAATCTGACTGCTCAGCCACACTGGATTCCTGATTTCTCTTTCCATACAACAAGCAGACTTCCCCTCTGGGCCTCTTGCACCATGGCTCCCCTGTCTAGAATGCTCTTGTTTTGCATCCGCATGATGGGCTCCTCACTTATTCAGGACAAAAATGATATGACCATCATTCTCTGTTCCCCCAGCTGGGTTAATTTTCTTCTTATCACGTACCCTGCATTCATCTTACCACTATCACATTTTTATTTATTTTTATGTTTACTGTTAGTCCCATTAGAATGGACGATCCACGAGGGCGGGGCTTTGCTCTGCTCACTGTTGCAGCACCAGAGTATAGACCCATGACTGGCATGTAGCAGGTGCTCAGTAAATATTTGTGGAACAGTCTGATTTAGCTTTCTGCTTTCCAAAGAAATAATGTCACAATAGTGTTAGTTAAAAAAAATAGTGTTAGTTAAAAAAATTGTGTTAGTTAAAAAAAGAAAGAACTCACAGATGTACTGCATGTCAAGGTATGAAAGTGTGTCTATGTTCAAACATTCTCTTATTTATTCCTCACATAATATTATTCAACCACACACGTGGTAGATGGAGTGTTTATCTCTCCTATTTTTCAAATCCAGAGCTCAGAAAAGTAAAATCATTTGCCCCAAAGACCCTCAACTCAGAAACTTATGTCATCTGACTCCAGATCTCGTGTCCCTTGAGTGACAATGTCCTTGAATTACTTAACCTCTTGTTGCCCTGGTGTCCTCATCTGTGATATGGAGATAAGAAAAGAATAATCCTCCTAGTGTTGTGTGAAGGTCAAATGAGTTAATTTGGTGTGATGCTTAGAGAAGTGCCTGATACATACTAAGAACTCTGTAAATGTTACTTATTATTGTTGAGTTATTTTAATATTGAATTATTATTAAAATTCTCCCTTGTTAGAATTCTATCCTTGAATTTCTGATGCATTTTTCATGCAGCTGCATTTTAGATAAGACATATTAAATACCTGTCTTTCACTACTGGGATTTATCTTGGTAAGGCTGCACGCCATAGTCTAGCGCCTTACGATTCACCGGATTTTCCTGTCTCCAATTGTTCCCATTCACCTGTCTCCCCAGCGAGAGTGTAAGTTCCTGGAAACTAGAGAGTATTGCTGATAGAGGTCTGGACAAAGTGTGACTGTTTTCCTTTTTCATTGAGATCTGTAATCCATCTGGAATTGATTTTTTTTTTTCTGTATGGTATGAAGCAGGGGTTGAGATGCATTTCGTTCCCTATACAGACCTGGGTGACCCAACACCATTGCATCCTGCTTGCTTGGCTCATAAAGTTCTCTCTGCTTCAACTGCCATCTCCTTTCTCAGGACCTATTTGAGTCTTCCATATTCTTCAAAGCACAACTAAAATCCTGCCTCCTTTATGAAGTCTTTCCTGACTAATGCACTATTCATTTATACCATGATGATCTATTTATTTTCTACTCTGTGTTGGGCATTGTGATAGGCAAAGGGATGCTGGGCACTGGGGAGAGTGGTGAATGAATCAGAGACCATCCCTTCCCTCAAGAATCACACAGGCCAGGAAAGGGACACAGACATTGACCAAGTTATGGTGCATGTGGGTGTTGGGAAGTGGAATTCTGGGCTCCTGGAGATGTGTAACTGGGATGTAACCTAGTTTGGGTTTTCAATGAAGTCTCTCCCAAGGCATCCATGTTGAAATTGAGACCTTGAACATGACTAGGAACTTGCTAGACCAGGTCATGGGGGTGGGGAGATTGGTATTTCTCCATGTTCCAGTCTTGAAGAGCACAGACATATTTAATATTCTTTCTTTATGTTTCATGTTGATCTATCTGGATAGATGTTCCTTGGGGATTAGGAGCAGAAACTATTTTTTAAAAATCCATTACAGAGCCTAGTACAGGGCTGAAAGCAAAGTAGGTGTTCTATGTATGTTAATTCAGAGGGCAGGTAAAAGCATTGTATCAGTCATGCTGGAAATGCTGTAATCTGGTCATTTGCTCAGAGGAGGGAACTAAATGAGAGGAAGTATACCAGCTTTTGGAGGCAGACAGATCTGGTGTAAACCTTGGCTTTGTCACTTACCAGCTATTCATGTTGAGCCAATTTACTTAATCTGAGTCTGTTTCCTCATCTGAAAAAGATATATAATCATATCTGCCCCATAGGCTTATTATAAGTTTAAAAGGAAGAAATCCAGTAAAACCCTGATCCTGGGCATCTAGTAGGCAGTCAATAAAACATCAGTCTCTTTTCCCATCTTAAATTCAAAAGGCAATGTGGTGTGATGGGATGGATATGGGCTTTAGAATCAGACAGCCCAATGACTGAACTCTGACTTCATCACCTCTCTGCTTAACTTCCCTGAGCCTGTTTGTTCACCTGTAGAATGGCATACTAGCTCCTGCGTTTGAGGAGCTCTGGGAAAATTAGGTGAAATAAATTGTGTTGAACACCTGCCACATTCTAAGGGTTGGTAACCATCAACCCGAACCTTAAAAGTCCTACACGTTTTAGCTGCTTGCCAAGAGTATAAGCATTGGAGCTCTGCAGTATTTACCTGGCCATGGCAGCTAATCAATAAACATGTGCAGTATGATTGTCTGATTCTAAGTGCCATCCTGGGTGGAGGTGGAGGGCAGGAGAAGGGACAGGTAGTGAATTCTGAGTTGTGTGCTGGTGACACCAGGTGGCTTCTGGATGGCTTCCAGGACTCTGGGTCCAGGACACTGCCAGCCTCTTCTCTGTGACTTTGCTCCATTGGGTTTTGGTGGGACCAACCTCCCCTTTCTTCCCAAGAGGAACTTGCCACCATATGGCTGCGTCTTCATCTGGACTAGAACCTGGTGAAACCCAGAGGAAAGCAGCCAAGTGTGCCTGCAGGGGCCCCTCAGAGGCAGCTGCTCCTCTGTCACATCCCAGGCTGCAGAGGCTGCCCCAGTCTGCTGCCAGGTCTCCTTGCTGCCCTTACATGAGCGACTGGCTTTCCCTTCCTGGGGAGACAGGTGGCAGCTGTATGGCCTAAGCGCCGGCTCTACCTCTCTGCCTTCCTGTTAGCCACCAGGGCTTACCTTTCTCTAGTCCTGACAAGTCAGAAAGAATGAAATGGACACAGTCAGGCAAGAATTGATGATATTGGATGTGGCTGCTATCTCTGGTCTTGCCTCCACTTTTGAAAGGAAGGAGAGAGACAACAGAATGGCCTGCAGATGGGAATAAAACTTAGAGAAGGGCCAGGCACGGTGGCTCCACCTATAATCCCAGCACTTTGGGAGGCTGAGGCGAGCGGATCATGAGGTCAGGAGATTGAGACCATCCTGGTTAACATGGTGAAACCCCGTCTCTACTAAAAATACAAAAAATTAGCTGGGTGTGGTGGTGTGTGCCTATAGTCCCAGCTACTTGGTAGGCTGAGGCAGGAGAACCACTTGAACCTGGGAGTCGGAGGTTGCAGTGAGCCGAGATGGCACCACTACACTCCAGCCTAGGCGACAGAGCGAGACTGTTTCAAAAAACAAAAAACAAAAAACAAAAAGCAAACAAACAAACAAAAAAACAAAACAAAAGCCTTAGAGAACAGGGCAGGAAATTAACTTTTAGGGAGTGCCTACTACATGTCTGGCACTTTCCATAAAATAGCTTTTGAAATTCTCACAGCCAAATTGTGTGGCTAATGTTATTATTTCTACTCAGATGAGGAAACCGAGACCCAGAAAGGTGAAGGGATGGCCCAAGATCGCAGTGTTTCTATGTGGCAGAGGCAGGATTTCAACTCAGTTCTGTTTATCAATCTATGCTCATTCCACTGCACTAGGATTTCTCAAATTTGAGTGGTGTAGGGATGTATTAAATGAATATAATTCTGATGGCACCGCAGGATGACAGAGTTTAAAAAATTCTGAGGTTTAAAATGTAAAAACATTATCACTAGGTGCAAATTTCTTACGCTCACGCTCACAGCTCTCATACAATTGTCAAAATTACCAAGGAAATACAGAGTTGCAGTACTAATAAAAGTCAAATGAACAATGTTGATTGAATGCGATGGGTGATGTTTTGCCGAAGTGTCTATTGAGTTCACTACGCTTTGTCCAATATGTACCAAGTGTTGACTCTGTTTGTCTGCTAATGTTTTCAGTTTGAATTATCTTAAGACCCTCATACATAAAGACCACCGTAATGTCATTTGACATCAGTTGACAGTAGTCCCATCATCCACCTTGCCTCTGTTCTTTTCTCCTTAGTCAATGATAATCAAGGCGGTAAAGTTCCTGCCCAATGATGCTGCCTTTGTGATGTAAGATCAAAGTCTCAATTTGTCCAATAACTTAAGAAGTGAAAGTGCTATTCTACGAGTCTGACTTTCCACTGACACAGACTGTGACAGAGAAGTTTAGTCTTCCTAAGGTAAAAGATTTTAATCTGAGGGTCGATTGTTGTCACTTGAAATTTGGACATACATGCCACTCTCGTGGCAGCTGGACATGTTTATCAATCTGTTAAGAGTTAAATGCTGTCACTTGGGGTCATCGCTTTGTGTAAACACAAAGGCAAACTCCAGCACTGAAATGGCACAGCCGTGCTGGGTTGGAAGGCGCCTCTGCAGATCCTTATAAGCCAGTTATGCTTAAGTGGATTTTAAAAGATTATCATCAACTAGAAAACACGTTCAAGCATGTGCATACACACACACACACAGTGCCTGGACTGCTGAGTCTAGGAAGGACTAATAGACTCTAGGAAATCCTACCCCATCTTCTGTGACTTCGCTCAGATTACAGCAGAGCAGGCCAGCAAAGACAAGTAGTTGGACACCTCACCTTTCAGTCCAAATCTTCCAAATCTGTTTGCAGAGGGAAAGTGGCTCAGAGAGGCATTCCTTTCCTAGCATAAGAACTTAAGGCAGATGGTCCTCTGGGATGCAATTGAACGACTTTCCACTAAGTGATAGCAAAACTCATGCCCCAGAGTGATGTTTGCTGTGTAGAGAGAAATGTGTTCACATGGATGCATTTGGAGAAAAAGGATTCTAATGGTATTTTTTCCTTTCCTTCAAATAAACAATCACCACGTAGAAAATCTGTTCTGCTTCTTTTGTCAGTTCACTTGTTTTGGGATATGGTGGAGTGTTTAAGAACACAGACTTATGAGTAAGACTCCCCAGATTTGAATTCCAGCAATATTATTGACTGTGGGCCTTGGCCAAGTTACTTAATTTCTCCGCACCTTTTTTTTGCTCATCTGTAAAATGGTGCTAGTGGTAATTTGTGACTACCTACTGGGTTTGTTATGGAGCTCACGTCAGACACACACATTAAATGCTGACCACGGGGCCTTGCGTCAGAGCATCCAGAGCCAATGAGAGTCACATTTGCATTATTTACCAGGTTCTGTCTTGTATCTGGCCTGAGGCCAGTAGGAGCTCAAAAAAGAATAAGTATTTACTATTCCAATCCTTATCCTTCAAGGCTGATTTGAGTTGCACTTCCTCTGGGAAGCCTTCCCTGCTTCTGGAAATCTAGTGTCAGAGCTGCCAGCACCTAAGCAGCCTGCTCCTGACTGTTGGGTTTGATAGTCCAAGTCTGTCTGTTCTGGTAACAAACTTTGTGTTTAGAACTCTTACATTGTATGAGATGGGAGCAATTCAAGGCCAAAAAGTGACTTGCTTTTGGATTAAACTTGCTGCCTGGATGAATGTCTAATGGATCTCTTATAGGTATTGAGCTCATTCTTGAAACTACTAAAGAAACCAGGAGAACAGAATGAATTCCATCCCTAATGTCCATAGGTCGCTTTTTATTTAGGAAAACAAAGATTGGCCGGGTGCGGGGGCTCACGCCTGTAATCCCAGCACTTTGGGAGGCCGAGGCGGGCGAATCACCTGAGGTCAGGAGTTCAAAACCAGCCTGGCTTACATGGCAAAATCCTGTCTCTACTAAAAATACAAAAATTTGAGTTTGAGACCAACCCGGCCCACATGGCGAAACCTCATCTCTACTAAAAATACAAAAATTAGCCAGGCATGGAGGCACATACCTATAAACTCAGCTACTCGGGAGGCTGAGGCATGAAAATCGCTTGAACCCAGGAGGCAGAGATTGCACTGAGCTGAGATGGTGCCACCGTACTCCAGCCTGGGTGATGAAGTGAGATTTTGCCTCAAAAAAAAAAAAAAGAAAAATGAAGATTAAGTATGAGGTGTGTGTGCATGCATGCATACATACACAGGCACACACACAAACACTACTGGAGCTTCCCTCTTGCCTTTCTGTTGCATGCACACACAGGCACTGTAGCACATACTCCCCTGTGCTCCCCTGTGTCCTCCCCTGCCAGTGCAGGCTCCTGGTGACAGTGTCTTATTCACCCTGACATCACAGAATCGAAAAGATGCTGGAAATAGTAGATGCTCAGTAAAGATTTCCTAACTAGAGCGGCATTAAAAAGACAACAGGATCTTCAGCCAGTGAAGACAAACTTGTAGGTTTGCGAGACAAACCATACTGTTTTCCAGCATGTTGGTTCATGTATCTGCCAAAGACGACAACAATTAAACAGCAGGTGACATTTACTGAGTGCTCCCTATGTGCCGCTCACTCTGCTCAAGGCTTTCTATCTATGATCTCATTTAACTTTCCAAACACCATTACAAAGAAGGCACGGCTCTCATTCCCTGTTTACAGATGAGGAAACTGAGGCACAGAGAAGTTTAGTGACTTGTGCACACTTGTTTAGCTAGTCGGTGGAGGGGCAGGATTCAGACCTGGCCAATTGGCTCAACCAACATTTCCTGAGCCCCCAACTATGTGCTAGGCACAAGCTAGTGTGGCACAATACTTGAAATCGGCAGTTCTCAATTATTAGTGTGCCATGGAATCTCCCGCAGGGCTTGTGGAAATGCAGACTGCAGGGCCCTATGCCCAGAATTTCTGATTCAATGGATTTGGGGCAACACCAGAAAATATGCCTTCCTAATAAGTTCCCCAAAGTGCTGAGGTCCAGGGATGTACTCATCATGAGGATCATGAGGTCCAGGGATGGACTGGAGATCCATGGGTTTAGATCTTACTTCCTTACTTTTAGAATAGGAAAGGAGAGTTTAGCAACATATGTAACACAAGCCATCTTGTGGGAACAGAAGCCAAAATATGCCGGGTGAAGGCAGACATTCGGCTCTGGACCTCTGTGGGGAGGGAGGGAACAATTTTTAGGTTCCTGTTACATGCCAGCCATGCTCTGACACTAAATCACTTAAAACGTAAGACAAGGGCTGGGCGCGGTGGCTCACGCCTGTAATCCCAGCACTTTGGAAGGCTGAGGCGGGCAGATCACCTGAAGTCAGGAGTTCGAGACCAGCCTGGCCAACATGGAGAAACCCCGTCTCTACCAATAATACAAAAATTAGCTTGGGGTGGTGGCGCATGCCTGTAATATTAGCTACTTGAAAGGCTGAGGCACGAGAATCGCTTGAACCCGGGAGGCAGAGGTTGCAGTGGGCCAAGATTGCGCCATTGCACTCCAGCCTGGGCAACAAGAGCAAAACTCCGTTTAAAAAAAAAAAGGTAAGACAAGTCCTCTTTCTCATTCAGTCTTCAAAACATGGGTTTTTTTTTTTTTTTTTTTTTTTTGAGACAGGATCTCTCTCTCTCTCTCCCAGGCTGGAGTGCAGTGGCACGATCTTGGCTCACTGCAACCTCTACCTCCTAGGTTCAAGAGATTCTCCTGCCTCAGCCTCCTGAGTAGCTGGGATTACAGGCATGCACCTCCATGTTGGGCTAATTTTTGTATTTTTAGAAGAGATGGGGTTTCACCATGTTGGTCAGGCTGGTCTCGAACTCCTGACCTCAAGTGATCTGCCTGCCTCGGCCTCCCAAAGTGCTGGGATTACAGGCATGAGCCACCATGCCCAGTCCAGAACGTGGATTATTAATGGAGGCATAACTCTGGAGAAGATTTGGAAGTGTGATGAGGGAAGGTTGCATTTGGCATTCATATGCTGGGGCCAGAGAGCCTCGACTAAAACCACAGCTCTGCCCCTTCCTGCTGGTGTAATCTTGGGCATATGGCTTAATTGTCCTGTGCCCAGTTTCCCTCTCTGGAAAATGGGGTAACAGGAATATCTACTCGATTGCGTTCATTGTGAGCACCAAGTGAGTTAGTACAAGAGTGCCTGGCCAGAGTCTGCCCCCGGTGACTTCGTTAGCTGGTAATTGACACAGAAAGACTGAGACTGAAAGAGTGAGGGTTGAGCCACTGAAAGGGACTCAGCTGAGCATCTAGGGGGAATTGCTTAAAAACTGACAATAATGATGATGATGATGACGATGGTAATAAAAATGATAATGATAACTACTATTAGTATCATTCATTAAGACATTTGTGGGCCAGTGTGCAAAATGCTCTACAGCAAAATTTCATTGAGTCCTCTTGTCATCCCAATTATTATTTCTGCTGTCAGGATGAAGAGACTGGGGTTCAGTCTCATTAACCCCAATAATGCTCTGTGTGACCTTGGGCAAGTTGCTTGACTTCTCTGGGCCTCCAAGACGGGGTTGGTCTCAAAGTTCTTGAAGGGCCTTTTGGCTTGCAGATTCTAGACTGTACAGTTCCTAAGCGGCGACTCCTCACCTCATCTCATTAATATGCATCTGTTCTTACAGCCTTAGGGATCCCAAGAGAGGGGACCTTGTTGCCTTTGAGCTTCAGATATCAGGGGACCAGATTCCCTGGAATTCATGATTTGGAATTCTAGAATCATTTCTAAATCATGCAGCACCAGCAAATGCTTGGAGTCTGTGTGGGAGGCAGCGGGGATGGCCCGAGGCAAAGCCGTGAACCAGGCAGAGGCTTCTCTCACCTTCCCAGCCTGCTCCTGGTGGTGAGAGCAATGGCAGTCCTTCGCACAGTACTGACTGCATGCCAGGCACCCCACATCTTCCCCGTCAGTGCCCCGAGCCCTGTAGCAAACCTATGAGGTAGGGGAATGCTCTCTTTTCCAGATGAGAAAACAGGCCCAGAGAGGTCAGGCTGCTCACCCACAGCACCCAGGCTGAGGGTCAGAGCCTGGACTTGAACCCAGGTCTGTCTGCCTCCAAAACTTCTGCCAGTGAAGACCAGCCTAAACTGTCTCCCTCCCTGCATATCTTTCTACTCCTTTCTTTCCTGTTTCTGAATTCCCCATTGCCCTTTCATCTTGCTGGCCCCCCTCCAAACCTGCCCCTAGTTCTTTGGGAAAGGTCTAATGAACACCTTCAAGGTGGCTTGAATTATCCCCAACCCCAGGGCCTGGATTCTGTGACTCTGGGGTGAGAGACCCTCTTGATCAAGAACCACAGATTAGGCCGGGCCCGGTGGCTCCCGCCTGTAATCCCAGGACTTTGGGAGGCTGAGGCAGGCAGATCACGAGGTCAGGAGATCGAGACCATCCTGGCCAACATGGTGAAACCCTGTCTCTACTAAAAATACAAAAATTAGCTGGGTGTGGTGGCATGTGCCTATAATTCCAGCTACTTGGGAGGCTGAGGTAGGAGAATCGCTCGAACCAGTGAGTTGGAGGTTGCCGTGAGCCGAGATCATGCCACTGCACTCCAGCCTGGCAACAGAGTGAGACTCTGTCTCAAAAAAAAAAAAAAAAGAACCACAGATTAATCCTTGGGGTCCCTTCCAGATGTAACATTCTTTGAGGTTAGGGTCCTAATGTAAAAGGTGTCAATAAGGCATCTCTGAGGCTCCACCAGGCTTTGTGCAATCCCTGGCAGGGGAATGCAGGACGTTTCAAAAATTAAAATAGTTTCTGTATACAGAGGAGAGAACGCTGGATAGAGAGTCTGAAAATGCATTCTGGCTCTCCCACTAACTTGCTGTGTGACCTTGGACAAGTTGCATCCACTCTCTGGGCCTCATTTCAATCGAGGGTTGGATGAGATGGCCTTTCTTCACTCTGTAATTTGGTGATCACATTCTGCCTTGAGGTTGTTTGTATGTCCTCCCACCCCCATTCTCTTGTTGGAGGGCAGGGTCCTTCAGGGCAGGGCACTGCTACCCCTTCTTTGCTTTGGTTGGTGTCCCCAGGGTCTAGATAGCACCCTCACAAACTCTGTGTTCAGTAAGTATTGTCCAGCGAATGAACGATGCTTCCAAGTATGTAGTAGGCTGCTTGATTCTGCAAACTGTAATGTATCACATCCAGATCATCACCGATGATAGCAGCTAATTTGGGTTTTTAAAAGGAAACTGTATTATGCTTTGTCTGACTTGATAAAGTAGCTCAGCTTTGGAGAAATCGTGTTTATCTTTAACTACAGTTTAAAAAAATAATTTTTCATAAAACCTTCAGAAGGTAATTTGACTGTATGTGCTTTTCTACCTCAAGTCATTTTCTTGGAAAAAAACAAAAATTGAGAACAAGTGCTACTCAGAAACAGGCAATGCTGCTTGGGAATTTAAAGGCACAGGCATGAAAAATTTAGCAGATTGAGCTAGCTACCTTGAAACCTGGTTTTGCATTGACACCTTTTTTTTGTTTGTTTGAGATGGAATCTTACTCTGTCACCCAGGCTGGAGTGCAGTGGCGAAATCTCGGCTCACTGCAACCTCCGCCCCCTGGGTTCAAGCAATTCTCCTGACTCAGCCTCCCGAGTAGATGGGAATACAGGTGCCCGCCACCATGCCCGGCTAACTTTTGTATTTTTAGTAGAGACGGGGTTTCACCATGTTGGCCAGGCTGGTCTCGAACTCCTGACCTGAGATGATCCACGCGCCTGGGCCTCCCAAAGTGCTGGGATTACAGGCGTGAGCCACCGCACCCGGCGACACCTTTAAAATTAGTATCAGTTGCAGACTAACTGTGAGCTCCAAATTCTAACCCTATTTCTGATGCTGACTTGTTTTAGTCTCTGAAAGAGTCACTTAAATGTTCGATCCAAGCTTGCTTCTCCGGCAAAGCATAACAGCATTGACCTACCTCATTCTTGACTACTTCTTTTTTTTTCCTCTCTTTTAAAAGAATCATCTGATCCATACCACCATTTGTTATTTTTATCCTCTTCTTCTTCCTTCCTCTTCCTCCTTCTTCCCGCTCCTCCTCTAATAATTGGACAAAATGTAAGATCAGAGAATAGATACTGTCAGGGTTTCATTGGTCTGTTCTCTTCTTTATCAGTGAAGACCATATTTATGAGATCTTTGTGGATTTCCCTGCAAAGGCAAGCTGAGAACCTTAAACAACTAGGGAGGAGCTTTTTAAAGAGTCGAGTCATATTTTGGTTTCTGTCTCTTCAATGGTTTGCTTTTGGGAGATTTTCCAGCTCTAATGTTAAAAGGTGTCACTTTATCCAAGCAGAAAAGTCCCAGTTGATTAAGAGTCTGTAGCTATACATAGGGAGATCTTGGCCTCAGTCTTGGCCAGAGGAAAAACTGACAGCTTTAGAGTAAAACGAAGACCCCAAAGATGGTCAGTATAGTATGGGGTGACAGGCATTTATTCGGTGCAAGCCGACTTCATTTAATCATGGTATAATCCTCCAAGCTGGTTATCCTCATTTTATAGAAGAGGAAACTGAGGTTCAGAGAGGTTAAGTGACTTGGCCAGGGCCACACAGATAGGAAGTGACAGAGCTCTTCTGATTCCAAAGCCTGTCTATGTCAAAGTCTGTCACTCCTCTGAGGAGACAACCTGGCATCAGGCTTGAGACAGTAAACTAGAGCCAGATATGAAGAGACTGGGGAATCAGATGAAAGCCCCCCACTCCCTCCCCTCCCATCTAGGACCCCATCTAGGACCTGGGGGAAGGAGGAAGGAGTGGGTAGGGGTGGAGCCTATGTGCCTGGAATAGTGGGAGGTGAAAGTGGGAAGTGGATGAGAGTGGGGACGTGTGTGTGTGTGTGTGTGTGTGTGTGTGTGTGTGTGTGTGTAGAGGGAGAGAAAATGAATGAGAGAATCAGGGTAGATACATAATTAGGTGTTGTTTGGTTTCAAAATGAAAATAGCATTATACTTTGTTTGTGATTTTAAAAGCAGGGCATGCTCACGGTAACACATATAGTCTGTACAGAAAGGAACAATCAAGAAAGCAAAAACTGCTTGTCAACCCACTAGCTAGAGATAACGGTGACCCACAGCTGGACTTTGAATTTTACATTCTCAGGCTTAGCTGCCTTAAACTCACCTCAGTCTTGCCTGTTGGCAAGTTGCCATGGAGACCACTCAAAAGCAGTTAGCATGAATGACTTTGATTTTTTTTTTTTTTTTTTTAAAGAAACTGGAGTGCAGTGGCACCATCATAGCTCACTGCAGCCTCGAACTCCTGGGCTTAAGCCATCCTCCCGCCTCAGCCTCCCAAGTAGCTGGGACTACAGGCGTGCGCCACCATGCCCAGCAATTGACTCTGATTTTCGAATTTTAGACTCACTTGTTTACTTCAGGGTAACTGTTGTCACCTGATAACTTCTTTGGTTTTATTTTATCTAGGATGGATTTTAAGGCTAACAAAATATGATTATGTTTTCAAAGTCATGTTTCAAAGATTAAGGACTTGCAAACATTTTGATATGATGTTAAGAAAAAAGAGAAAATTGTGCATACAATATGAACTGAATCCTAATAATATACATATATGTACATTCACAGAAAAAAGGCAAATAACTTTCAGTATTTCTTCTAAAATGTTACCAATGATTATTTCTAGGCGAGAACGTTATGAATTATTTTAAGTCTTCTATATACTTTTCTGTATGTACTCAAGTTTTTATAATAAGCATGTTTTGCTTATACAATCAGAGAATAATGTGTGCTATTTATAAAAAGGAATAGATAGTTGGGGACGAGATGTTTTTGAAAGGTACACAGTGACTAGCATATGCAGAGACAAAATAGAGCAAAACATAAAGCCACTTTGCATTGACCTTAATCAACACCCTTGCCCAGATGGATATTAGAGAGGGAGTAAGGGTAACTGGAGGAAGGAATGTTCATTTGAGTTTCTGAAATATTCTTTTCCTGCAAATGCCTCTGCTCTGCACGATGTGTGCAAACACTAGTTATAACGAGCAAGGGAAAGTTTCTCTCCGTAGGAGCCCCAGAAGTCCCCTCTTATTTATATTTAGGGTTCTGCTTTCCTAGTGGAAATTGGTGGTTTTATCCGTGGACATTTCCCAGAAATCAAATGGAAGGGACAGGTAGGAGAAAATGGTCTGTAATTTCGGTTCCATGGATGTGTGCCATATAATAAATGTCCTCAGCTTGGTGTGTGTTTCTGGCATGAAACTGTCAAGAACTCCCCTAGAAAGCTCTGATTGTTTGGGTTCACTGGCAGGAAAGTGTGAATCCTGCTGTTCCTTCTAGGTGGATATAATAAGCCCCTCCAACCCCCACTGCTTTTTTCTTTTGAAATGAGGGGTAAAGACAACAATAAAAGCCAAGAATCCTTAAATCTCAGGAGAGAGTGGAGAGGTGAAAGAGGATCTGTTTTATGGTGCACCTTCAATAAAAAAGATTTACAGGTAAGTCATTTTCTCTTCTTTCTAGGCACTAGATTGAGAGGATTCAGGGAACTAAACCCCAGGGAGAGCTTGGCATAAATAAAAAAAAACTGACAACTGTCAAAACAGATAGCAACCAATCAGAAATACAATGTTGAGGGAGGCTCCAGTTCCAAAATGATTCAGAGAAGTGTTTGCTTGTTACGGCAAGAATAAGGACTTAGGGGAACATTGGGAGGGAATTAGGATGCTCTTCAAAATCCCAAACTTGGAGACTGATTGAGTGAGTTGGGTAAGACGGATCTGATTTTATATCTTAAGGAATAACCGAAGCCTTAAATACTGGTGAAGAATATGTTCATTCTTCCTTCATTCGTTCATTCACCGTTCATTCATTCATTCATTCACTCAATAGGCAGTCACCCAGTGCCTTCCCTGGGCAGGCTGTGAGCTGGTGATGGAGATGCAGAGTGGAAGGATGTAGCCCCATCCCCAGGGAGCTCAGAGCTTGGGGGAGGGACCATAACCATAATGCAAAGTGTTACATACAGTGAGCAGTAAATGCTGGGTGTTATTGTGGGAGATAGAGGAGAGGGGCAACTAACTGTGTGTGTGTGTTTGTGTGTGTGTGTGTGTTCGTGTGTATGTGTGTGTGTGAGAGAGAGAGAGAGAGCAGAGGGAGAGAGAGAGATGATCAGCAGACCTGAACTTGAAGGACATGAAGGAGTTAGGCAGGTAAAGGGGGCCAGGTGAGAAGAATACAAGTCAGACAAGTAGAACAGTCATTTGTTCATTCACTTCATTCATTCATTCATTCATTCATTCAGCACATATATTGAGCTCCTACTGGGTTCCAGGCACAAGTTCCCAAGTTTCCCAAGGACGCAGTGAAGAAGACAGAGAAAGTCTCTGCCTTTAGAGAGCTTATATTCTAGGGGAACAGAGAGTGAGCAAGTAAACAAATGAATCCACAAAGAAGAGGCTTTCAAATGGTGATGTGTCGCAAAGCCTACAGGAAGGAATAATGTGATGCGAGGGCATGGGGGCGTAAAGGTAGCCAGGGAGTCCATCTCAGAGAAATCACCTTCCATGCTGCCCCCTGCATCAGTCATGCAAAGCCCGGGGAAGTGCATTTTGGGGAGAGGGAACAGCAAGGCTTTTAGGCAGAGACAAGCTTGGTGTCGACGAGGACCAGAAGAAGGCAGTGCGGGAGGGAGACCATGGGAAGGGGTCATGTGGCCACAGAGGTAAGCAGGAGCCAGATGATGTAGCACTGTGGGCTCTGCTGAGGACCTGAAGAATAGTTTGTAAGGGGTGGCAGTGGGTAGGTAGACCAGTTGGTCAGGTATTGTGGCAGACCCAGTGGGAAGCCTTGGTGGCCTGGGTGGAGGTAGAAGCTGTGGGCGTGGACAGGAGATGGCAGTTTGGGATCATATTCTGAAGGCAGAGTCAACCTTATCCACAAAAGGGTTTGATGTCATGGGTGAAGGGAAGAGGAATCAAGGATGACTCTCAGGATTTTTACCTGAGCACCAGATGGATGGTGACCATTTATCTAGGAGGGGAAGAGCAATTTTGCTTGGAGTCAGGAACAGCAAGCATTTGGGAATCTAATATACCTCAGGATGGCATAAATCCAGGTTCATTGAAAGAGGTACAGGGTGGCTGGAGGGGAAGGTAGAGGTCATGAAGGACCCTGTTGGCCCTGAGAGAGCTGAACCCAAACCTTGAAGCTTCAGATAGACCCTGAAGGCCTTTACAAAGCGAAGCAACACTGTCGGGTATTATCTTTTGAGACATGAGCTTCCAGTGTAGATGTTTGCATGGAAGGATGTGGTGGGAAGCAGAGAGATGAAATGAATTAAGATGCTGTTGTCATAGCCCAGGCAGAGTTGGTGATAGCCTGAGTAAGGCGGGATGGAGAGATGTGGACAGATTCTTGAGCTATTTGTTTATTTATTGAGACAGAGTCTTGCTCTGTCACCCAGGCTGGTGTGCAGTGGTACGATCTTGGCTCACTACAACCTCCGCCTCCCAGGTTCAAGCGATTCTTCTGCCTCGGCCTCCCAAGTAGCTGGGTCTATAGGTGCCTGCCACCACACTTGGCTAATTTTTGTATTTTTAGTAGAGACGGGGTTTCACTATGTTGGCCAGGCTGTTCTCGAACTCCTGACCTCGTGATCCACCCGCCTCGGCCTCCCAAAGTGCTTGGATTACAGGCGTGAGCCACCGTACCCGGCCCTCTTGAGCTCTTTAATGGGCAAAAGATGCAGGATGCAGCAACTCGGTACACGTGTGAGATGAGAGAGGCGAGGACAAGGGAGCTCCTGTTCCCTGGGTTCTGGAAGTTCACAGATGGTGTTTTCATCCACTGCAATGCAGTGGAGGAAGGTGAAGAAGGCGAGTTCAGTTATGGACTCAGATGTAGGAGATGTGGTGTGTCACTTCCCTGGGGTGCATGTGACCCTTCCTCCCTTCTCACAGGACACTGATCTTGTGAAACAACTGCCTCTCAGCCCCCACCTCTGTGTCAGCAGTGTCCTTCAGGGGAAGCTGGCCCCACCCTAGCCCCAGGATGGTCTTCCTGTCCAGGCAGGTAACCTATCCCTGAGCAATAATTAGCATGAAGTGGTCCTGTGACCCACTTGGGCCAAAGAGACAGGAGGAAAGGTTTTCTGGGGCCTTCTGAGAAAGTATCTTCCTTGTTTTTATCTAAAAGCATCCAGAGTGACTCTCTCTGGTCCTCTGTGGATGTGTGGCCCCAAGGCACTGTCCTGTCTCACTCTCAGCCTCAGGATAGCAAGAGAAACAGGCAAACTAGCTGGAACTGCCCGGTTATGTGAGCAACTCTTTTTTTTTTTTTTTTTACTGTGAAGCCAGTTTGGGTTGTGTTTTCTTACCTGCAACTCAAAGCATCTCAACAGATATGAGGGCCAGCGGGACAACCAGATGGATCTTCCAGCAGAGACATGGGCTCTCTGGCTAGGGCTGGACCTCAGGCTAGAGTCTGAGGTGGAAAAAGGACTCCAATGCTCATGCCCTTCTGAGAGTTGGATTCAATGGGAATCAGAATCATTTTCCTATTCAAAGAAAAGTTTTATTTTTAATAAGGAAAGAAGTGGAGTAATGAAAGGAAGAACTTCCTTGAAGAACACGCCACACTGTGTGGTCATGTACAGGGGTGGACTATGATGGAACCTCTGTATTTACAACTCGAAAGGAGAGATGCTAATCATTAGAGTGATTCAGGCACTGTTCAAAGGGAAGCTGAATGACCTATTTTCTGACTTTTTTTTTTAAAAAAATGAGAATCCATTTTATGTCGGCTGCCCCAGATGGTCTCTCGAAGACATAGGCTGCTCTGAGGAAAGAAGAGGGGAGCTCTGCGGTCTGGCACACGGGAAGACCAAGTCCAGCTTTCACACGTAGGAGCTGCGTGATCCCCCTGGGCCTCATTTGTAAAAAGGAAAAAACAACTGACCTTCCCCCTGCCATCAAGTTGGTCCTGTGAATTAAATTGGGAAATTCATGTAAAGAAACTTTGCTATGCCCAGCTAATACTAGGAGATTCTCTCTCCTCTCCTCTCTCTCTCTCTCTCTCTCTCTCTCAATCCCTTTTCTCTTCCCCCTTCTCTCTCTCTCCCATTAGTATTTCATCTCCAGCATCCTCTCATGACTCATGATGTGGTTACCAGTGACCTCTGCTTGTCAGATCTGATGGTCAGTTATCTGTCCTCATCTTACTTGACCCATCAGTGGCATTTAATTGGTTGCTCACTCCCTCCTTGAACCCCTTTCTCACTTGCCTTCGGGCACCCCCTCGCTTGGTTCTCTTCCTACCTCACTGGCTACTCCTTCTCAGTCTCTTTGTGGATTCCTCCTCATCTTCTAGACCCCTAACTGGTGGAGTGCCCAGGTCTTCATCCTCAAACCTCTCTTCTCTAGCTATCCTTACCCTTCAAGCCTCCTTATCTCAGCCCAAGTGAAGCCCAGCATCCTTTTCCTGGGCTATAAGACCTTACCCAATCTATCCCCCTTCCCAATCTTCTTTGCCACCTCTCCTACAATTCACGTCTCCAGCTCACCCAATCTACTTGCTGTTTCTGGAAGACGCCAGCATATTCTCCCTTCAAGCCTCTTTGCTAACTGTTCTCTCTACCTAGAACCTCACTACCTCACTTCTTCAGGTCTTTGCTCAAATATCAGAGTGACCCTCCCTAGCCACTCTGTGTAACCTTACAACTTCCTATCAGATCATTCTGCATCCTTCTTACTTTATGTGTCTTCAAAGCACGCATCAACACCTAACTCATTTTATATTTATTTGTGCATCCACTCTTTCCCCCATCAGAATGCCAGCTCCATATCTTCAGATTCTATAACAGTGTTTGGCACTAAGGGGGTTCCCAATAACTATGTGTTGAATGAATGCATTCACGGAGGGTAACTGCTATTGTTCTTCCTAATGTCATTATTTTTCCCAATTTTAAGGTTCTAAGGTTTATGCTTGCAAAGCAAAGGTTAGAGCCAATGACTTCCCAAGATCCCTTTTGGTTTTCCAACCTCTGGATCCATAACACAGCAGATGTAAATTGCTTACATGGGAACGGATCCAAACAGAATTACTGATGCTCAAGGGCTTCAGGATCACCACACTCCTGGATGTCCTAGACTTCCTAAAAAGTCATTCTGAGCGATATGGTTAGACAGCTATTTAGACATGTCTGTTTTGGAGGCAGTTTGACCTATGGTGAGAATGTCAAATGAAACAAAAACATTCTGACATTTTAAGAGCTTAATTTACTCACGATAAAAGGCATAGCATCTGAATATGTCAAGTTTATAAGACGTGGGCTTTAGAACAGGAATATGTACCTCCGTACTGCAAGGGCATGCCTGTGAGTTGATTGACTTGTTAAAGCAGCAAGCCAGTAACACATTTGAAATAAATGGAGGATGCATCTGCAAAATACATCTGAAAGTCGGTTTCGGTGGATCTGTCGCTCTCACTGCAGTTTGGAATTGGGTTATACATGAAATTAAACAATTGCCAAGATGATTCAAATAGATGCAGCTCAGAGGCCACCCCAGAAGGAGAGGACCCCAGTGATGGTTGCCAATCAGTAGGATGTGGTGAAAAAAAGCATAGACTTTCAAGCCATACAGACTTGACAGTGAATTCTAATTCAGTTGTGTATAGGCTGAGTGACGTCAGGTAAGTTACTTAGCATCTCTGGGCTTTGCTTTCTATCTTCATGTGGCAGAGACTACTATGAACCACCTAAGGCTGTTTTCCCTATAGTCTAGCACTCTGCCTGACCACATTTCTCAAGCTTCCTTTTGGTTAGGTGTGACCACAGGCCTGGGATCTGACCAGTGGCTGTGATGAATGGGATGTATGTCACTTCTAAGCCTACCCATTACAGCCTCTCCTAGATGATCTGCCATGATTTTTCTCCTTCTAGTTTGAGGCAGGGGATCATGGTGACTTCAGAAGCTGTGTGTTGGAGACAGTGGAGCTGTAAGATTGAAAGGCATATGTCCCTGAATCAATACTTGGAGGAGAGCTGCCTGTTTTGGACTTAAAGTGAGTGAGAAATAAACTTCTATGAATCGAGCCACTGTGATCTGGGGGTTTATTTATTATATCAGATACCATTACCCTGATACCTTTGCAAAACACTGGTAAAATTTTTTTAGGAGGGTTGAAATAGACTTTGTTTTTTGGAGCTCCCAGGACAGGTCTGGTATATAGCAGGGGTTTAATAGATTAGCTCTTACTATCCTCTTGCTTAGTTAGTTATCTGCAATAATCATTACACATAGATCTTGTGCCAGGTTTTGCTAGGCTCTGAGGAGGACTCAAGAAGTATAAAACATAGTCCCAGATCTCAAGTTTATATAGTGGGGAAGACCATTATCTTTCATGTGTGTATATGTCCTAAAATATCAGGCTTCTGAAGGATAAGATTGGAGTGAATGTCTCTGGGATTAACCATGAGAATTCAGAGGAAGAAGGTCCCTTTGGTTGGCCTGGTTAGGGAAGACTTAATAAATCACCCAGATATTGGAAGAAAGAAGTTACACAGGCCATGATGAAAAATGGTCAATCAAGGCCAGGCGCAGTGGCTCACGCCTGTAATCCCAGCACTTTGGGAGGCCGAGGTGGGTGGATCACGAGGTCAGGAGATCAAGACCATCCTGGCTAACATGGTGAAACCCTGTCTCTACTAAAAATACAAAAAAATTAGCCAGGTGTGGTGGCAAGTGCCTGTAGTCCCAGCTATTTGGGAGGCTGAGGCAGGAGAATGGTGTGAACCCGGGAGGCGGAGCTTGCAGTGAGCTGAGATTGCGCCACTGCACTCCAGCCTGGGCAACAGAGCGAGACCCCGTCTCAAAAAAAAAAAAAAAAGAAAAATGGTCAATCAAAAAAGAATTTCTATTTTATTCTGGGGAGAATGAACATATATATTTATTCTCTTAGCAGGTATTCATTGCTAACCATGTTAGTAATGTCAGCTACTTAGAGAGTTAACCTAGAATATGGAAAAAAGCTACAAACGAGGACAAAGATGCTTGTTACTGGGCCACTTACCATGTCAAAAGACAGAAACAACCCAAACATCTAATAGTGGGAGAAGGCTTAAGTAAATTGTGGTACATCCCTTTGATGTCATCTGTCCCGAAGAAATCCCAGGAAACTGTAGCTTCAGTTACCACCCTCATATCAGTGACTCCCACATTTGTAACTCTGGCCCTGGTATCTTGAAACTCCCTACAGGGAGTTTCCCGTATCTCCAACTCCCTACATGTTGTTGCCACTTGGCTGTCTCCAAGGCACCTCAACCCAAGCTCATGATCCACTCCCTTCTCCATGTCGCTCACCTCCCATCCCTCCAATGTGGTCTTTTCCCAGCATCTCTTGCTCACCACGTCCAGTTGTGAGAGTCAGGATTCTGGGAGTCATCCTGGATATTTCCCTTTCACTCATCCTCACATCCAATCCGTTAGGTCCTAAAAAATTTTGAAATCCATCCTCTTCTCTTTGTCTCTGCTGCTGCCTTCCTGGCCTAAGCCACTAACTCCTTGCATCTCGTTCTGTGGTATAGCTTCGCAACTGGGCTTTTTCTGCATACCTCTGAGGCTTTTCTCCAGGCAGTTCGAGATCAAATCTGATCATTTCACTCCTGCCGTTTCTCACCCTCAAAACTCTTCAATGACTTCCCACAGCTTTTAGAATAAAAACCAACATTCTTAACATGGCCCACTGAGTACCTGATTGTCTGAGCCTTGCCTCTCTCTCCATCTTCATCCCATTCTATCCCTTTCCACCTCCTTCTCCATAATCCAGCCCCGGGATGTTGCATAAGCTGTTCCCTCTGCTCAGAATGCACTTTACAAGCCCGTTCCTTCCCCAACCCCCAAATGCGCCAGTGCCAGCTTCACACCTACATGCCATCCGTTTCTCATAGACTCAACCACCTCAAGGAAGCCCTCCTTGATGTTGCGCCTAGATCAGGTTCCCCCGGGACCAGCTTCTGTGGCATACACACAACCTGGACAGGGGGAAAGATGGCTCAGGAGTGTTCTAGATGGTGAGGCAACAGATGTTAAGAAATTGTCCCTGATAATGCAGAGTGGATATTTTACCTTTAAACAACTGAGCCATTGAACTGTACATCATAGATCTGATATTGAATTTGAATCAGGACTAGCCATGCATGCCAAAAATGTTTACTCTGTGCCAGACACTGTGCTATTTACCGTACCCCCGTGGAACTTCTCGTTTATTTAACAAGTCTCAGAAATCTGAGTGTCAGGAAAGCAAATCTGTATTCAAGGAGTTCCCATGAATGTCTTCTATTTCCTTGAGAAAGACATTTAATTTTCTGAATCTCAGTTGCAATCACAATCCTTACCGACTGCCCTGTGGCGGTGTAGGCAGGCATTCACGTGGCTAAAATACTTGGAAATCTCAGGCCTTGCTTGTAATGCAGAGAAGAAGCTGGGCTTTGAATCTGACCAGTTAAAAGTGTGGCATTCCCAAGATCCATACTTGATCCCTCCAGAGGACTTGTGTTATTAAACCAGAGAGCAGAGCAGGTTCTGGCTGGCAAGGACCCAGGGATTAACGTCCAGGGCGTTAACATCATAATTGGGCCAGCCTTGAAGGCAGCAACATCTGCTGTGTGAGGCTCTGGTGCCAGAGCCCATGTTGCACCTCCTGGCTGGCTAGGGCCTTTGTCTTGGGAAGTGGCCTGGGTGGCCTTAAGACTGCATTTACTTAGCACATGCTCAATAGCTACTGTCAGGTGGTGAAAAGCTCTCATTAGGGCCAAGAAATTGACTTGTGTCCTGGGCTTCTCAGAAAAACAATGGGGACCCATGGGAGAGGCTTTGTGCCTGAAGGTGCCCAGGGACTGGTAATTGAGTTACTGTTCAAGTGATGAGAGACTGTGGCCACTGACGAGTATTAGTGGAACAAGGTTGGCAGGCTGTTGCAAGCCTTCCTAGCAAGGCCAGCCTGCATTTTCTCTTTGGCATGGAGTATATGGGGATTCATTTTCTTTAAAAATGTTTACGTAGGCAGTAGAGCCCAGTGATCAGGGGGGCAGCTTGGAAGTCGGGCTCTCGGTATCTGGAGACGGCAAAGGGAGGTTGGGTTGTTTGGAGAGGCTCACCGCACTCCACACTGTCATATGCATCATCTCATTCAATGACAATCGTCCTGGGGAGGCTGATTCTCTTATTTTCCAGTTGAAGAAACCAAGGCTTCAAGAGGTCGGTGAGCTGCCTAAAACCACACAGCCATGGAAGATAGGTGACGGATTAGAATCTTGTCTGTTTCCTGGCCAGGTGCGGTGGCTCACGCCTGTAATCCCAGGACTTTGGGATGCCAAGGCAGGCAGATCACTTGAGATCAGGGGTTGGAGACCAGCCCCTGGCCAACATGGTGAAACTCTGTCTCTACTAAAAATATAAAAATTAGTGGGGCATGGTGGCAGACACCTGTAGTCCCAGCTACTCAGGAGGCTGAGGCAGGAGAATGGCTTGAAGCTGGGAGGTGGAGGTTGCAGTGAGCCAAGATCGTGCCACTGTACTCCAGCCTGGGCAACAGAGTGAGAATCCATCTCAAAAAAAAAAAAAGAATCTTGTCTGTTTCTGAAGTCCATACTGCCTTTACTCCTCTGTGGGTTCATGTGTGGACCTGTCTGAGTTATGTCAATATCATTGGTGGTCCATTTCCTGCTTCCAAAGGGATCTCGCACCCACCCATTTCTCATCACTGCCTATGGCCCAGGCGACTCCCATTGGGATGATTGCACTGGCCAGTCTTTCTGCCTGTTTCTTGCTTCCTTCTCTGCTCGCATTGCCCACAGAACAGGAGCAGATTGACGCAGGTCCCTTCCCTGCTTCACACCCTTCAGAGGCTTCCCATGGCCCTTTGGCTGGAATCCAGGACACTTATTGAGGGCACGAGGGACTGCATCTTCTAGTTCTGCCTGTGTCTCTACCTCTGTCTGCTTCCATTGCCCCTGCTCTTTGCTTTGTCCATGCTGAGCTTCTGGTACTTTCTGGAAGGCTCTAAGCTCTTAGTCTTGCACTGGTGCCTTTGCATATGCCATTCCTTCTGCCTGGAACACTCTCCCCCAGTTTTTCTCTGGATGACTTCCATTCAACCTTAAGTATTTCTCACTTGGAGAGAGTTCTTGGCCCCCTCTGTCTAACCACACTCCTCTCTTTAGTACCCTGCACTCTTTACTTCACTTTTTAATAATTTGCAAATACATTTCCATTTGTGATATTGTTGACTGTTTTTAGTTTTTCTCCTCCTCTATTTTATGCGCTCTTGAAGGTTAAGGACCAGGACAGTTCTGCTTCCCACGATATCCCCAGCGTTTCACACACAGTACATTTCCAATAAGCACTTTTTATATTGAATAAAAAAATGGTTCTCAAGAACTGTTAGCATTGTCTCTGCAAATGTAAGTGCATGTGAGCATATTTATAGACTCCTGTTCATTATAACTCAGTTTTCATCCATTTATTCATTCATGAGTCATTCCCATCAATATTTACTAAGCACCAACTGGGTGCTGAAGATGCAAAAGTGACTGAGAAAATGTGCCAGCCATTCCCTAACTCAGCCGGCGGAGGGGTAGATATGTAAGGGCCAAGGCCTGAGCTTCTGAGGCAGGTGTTCCAGGTTGGATCGTGGATCCTCCAGTTACTCGTCTGTGTGACCTCGGGAAAGTCACTTCACTTCACTTCTCTGAGCTCTAGATGTCTCCTCTATCAAGTGGAGCCAACAACACCCATCTTGTGGGGCTGTTTTGATATGAAATTGAAATAAAAAGTACGTAAAAACTAAGTTCAATAAAGAGATCTTGTTGTTGTTTATGATGATTACTCAAAAGGGGCATAAAGGGAAGTTAGGTCAGTTCTTCCTAAGAAGTGGTAGGTATTAGGGAAGGTCTTATAACTGAGTGCCACAGAGGCATCTGGACAGGAGGGGAAAGCGTTTTGGGTAGAGGGAAGTGTGAGAGCAAAGAGGGACTTATGTGGGTCTGGGATTGTAGTATTTTGTGAATTTGTGTCCTCCATTTCTCTCTCTCCCTTCAGGGGCACACAGCACCCTCTCTTCTTCCCAGAATGGTACAGTTTGTCTTTTGGGAACCCAACCTCCTCTGTCCACTCCTCCTCCCTGTGTCATCTCTGTTTGTATCCTTGTCCTCTCCATGTAAGCCTGTTCCTCTGGTTACCCCTTTCCCCTCAAAACTGGGAAGGATGAAGGGTTGGGAACATCTCAGTCATCCATCAAATGAAATTGGGAGTTGGCAGCTGTGGTTTCATTAATGACTGCTCAACCCTTCTCTCCCCACATCTGGAAGGCTTGTGCCCAAGGATGGATGAGCCAGTGATACACAGTGAGAGAGGTACTGGCTCCCTAGAGACAGATGGGAACCCTGAGGCCCTGTCATCTGTCTTCTACCCTGGGCAGGAAGCCCCCATCAACACTTTTTGAGGAGGGGCCATTTAGCCCCCACAGGGACACTCTCCAGTGTCTCCCGAGTTCCTGTCAATGGGAGTCAGTTTCAGTGTGTATCAGCAGCATGAGCCTCAGTCTCCAAGTCCGAAATTCAGCACCACATCAAAAGTGAGCAGCTCTTCAAGGAAGAAATGGTACCATGTCCAAGAGTAGGGACTCTGGGACCCAGACTTCCAGGGTTCATATCCCAGCCCTATCATCCCGGCCAGTTAATATAGTTGTGCCTCAGTTTTCTCATGTGTAGAATGGGAATGAAGATCGCGGCTCCTTCACAGGGGCGGTTGTGAGGAATCTGCAATGACAAGCAGGAGTGACTCAGAAGCCTGCTGTGTCCACAGAAAAGCCTGTTAAGTGTTGACGATTGTTATATTTCCTCTTGATGGAACCCTTTCAAAGCAAGGGCTGGAGGGAGATTACAAGGGCCCAGAAAAATCCTCAGCCTCCAAAAATCCTTCTTCCTGCTCTCTGAGGAGTAAGTTTCCTTCACGGAGGAGCAGTGCCTCTCTCCGCATGGTCACAGGAAGCTTGTGGCAGGGGCTAGGAGGCAGGCCTCTGCAGCTGGACAGCCTGCAGGGCTCACGCTTGGCTGCTTACTAGCCAGCTGGCCTTGGCTGACTGCCTACCCTTTCTGCATCTCGGTTTCCTCACCTGCAGGACGGGAACCATAAGACCCACTGCAGAAGGTAGGGCCCGAGCCTTCAGCATCACCTTCCCTCACTCACTCCTTCCCAGGTCACTGCAGCTGTCTCCCAAAGGGCCTCTTTGTTTCCGCGCTTGTTCCTGTGCAGCCTGTCCACCCAGCAGCCAGAGCCAGCTTCTGAAAACCCAAGTCAATGAAGGTCGCTCCTTTGCTTAGACCTTCCAGTGGCTCCTGATGTCCCTCAGTTTAGATTCCAGAGTCCTCATCCCAGCCCACAAGCCCTTCCGTGTCTGTCCTCCTCTTCTTCCCTGCTCCTGCCTCCTCCATTTCCCCACCTCATCCACGCTGTTCTCTCCCATCTGTCTCCTTCTTGGGGCACACCAAGGACTCGCAGGACCTACGCATTTGCTGTTCCCTCGACCTGGAGTACTCCCCACCGCAATGTCCTGTCTTCAACATAGCAACATGCCTTTTGGCTGATTTTCTTCAGGGCTCTGTTCAATGACCGCCTCCTCTGAGAAGCCCTCCAAGACCACCCTATCTTCTACAGCATCCCTTTCTGTCACTCTCTGTCCCCTTGCCCTGCTTTATTTTTCTGCAGAGCACTTGTCACCACCTGATAAACATTTATGCATTTGTTTGTTGATTGCCTCTTTCTTCCTATTAGTCCGCAGAGCCCACGAGGGGAAGGTCTTTATCTTTTTGATCTCTGCTGGATCTCCAGTACCTAGCACAGTGCCTGGCTCAGTGTAGATAGCCAATAGATGTTTCTTGCACAAATGAACAAGTTCCCAGTAGGCAGTAAGGATGAACAATGCTTGTGAAAATGTGCCTGGCCCATGGTAGGTATTTGACAAATGTGAAATTTTAATTCCCTTGTTATCAAATTAGAGAGTTCATTTAAAACACAAATACCCTTGGGAGGGGCAACGCATTGACTTTAATTCACACCGGATTCCTGTACAAGGAAAAGGTCCAGTTGGAAGGGTGGAGGAAGGCAAGCCAGGGGCCCTGTAGACAAACTTCACTTGCTAAGAAATTTTGTCTCTGGCCAGCTCTGTTTAGGTCTGTGTGTACGACGATTCTCTAGGCAATTGAATTGCATTACCCTTTTCATTCTAATAATATGAACAGAATTTAGATGTGGTATTTGATGATGTCTTGTCTATTGAATGACTTCAGGACTTGCCTGGCACACGGCAGCAAATTACTGTCAACTTGAGGGTTGCCGAGCCTCTGCCAAAGTACCAATATTTCTGTGGAAAATCCTGGTCATTTACAGTTCATGTCTCAGAAATGAATTTTTATTTCATTGGCTTAATCTTTAGCATTATCAGAAACATGTGTTTATTCCCAGGGAGACTTCCAATGTGAGATCCTTCTAACAAGACCAGAGCTGGGAGAGCTCCTGAAGGGAATGAAAGACAAGCGCTCCCTGCCTGGTTGGAATTGCTGTTTATATGATCCCTGCTGAGAGAGAGAAGAGGGTAGACTGGACTCCTTCCAAAAATCGGAGGGGAAGCTGATTCTGACTTGGGAGGGTATAAAGATCTCAAGGCCAAGGCTGTCAGCTCGAGGGGAGGAGGTTGGGGAGAGAGGGGCATGTATAAGCATCTTTTCCAAATCAAATGCCTGGAAATTGAACACACCCAATAATTCTCTGGCCGTGGCACATAGTAAGCACTCAATAAATGCTAGTTGAATTCAGCTGGAGAGGGTTTGGAAACTGTGTTAGCTGCTGTGCTCTGGTTGGGGATTTGACCGTTTCTTCCACTCCACCCCCAATGCATTCATATTGCCTAGTAATCTGTCACAAATACCTAGCAGTGCTGAAGCCTTTGGCTGTGTCAAAGGGAAGGATCCAGCCCTTCCCAGGGGAATTTCCTCATTAGATACATGGTACAGCTCCACCCACACACTGGGTCTCTGAGTCAGAAGGGCATGTTTCTGCTGCAACTAATTTTACTACTGTTGTTTCTATTGCATCAGTAAAGCCCTGTTAGCTTTTAGAGAAGGATCTGCACCACTGAGATTTCGAGATTGGTTATTTTGATCATGAGGAATTTTCCTAACCAGTCTCCTGCCCTGCATCCTCATCTGTCCTTAGACAACAGGGGAAAGACAGACTACACTGTGAGAAGCATCATCACTGAAACTTCTCCTGCAGCTCGTTTGCCTGGCAAAGACTTGTGTAATCATGGATAATTAGGATAGTGGTAGCAGACAGCTAACCCAGCACCGATGCAAAGCTACTGAGTTAGTGACCATAGCAAATTTAAGTAAAGAGATTATTTTGAGCATCACTTATGGGCAGATGTGACAAGTAAGAAGGGGTGTCTAGTGATCTTTTCAAAGCAAGCCATGAAACAGTTGTGTGGTCAGATGGTAGAAAGAAATTGGCAAGAGAGGTCTTTCCTTCCTTCCTCTCTCCCTCCCTCCCTTCTTCCCTCCCTCCCTCCCTTTCTTCCTTCCTTCTTTCTCTCTTTATCTTCTTTTTCCTTCATTCCTTCTTTCTCTCTTTCTCTTCTCTTTCCTTCCTTCTCTTTTTCTCTTTCTCTCTCTCTCCTTCTTTCCTTTTTCCTTCCTTCCTTCTTTCCTTCTTTCCTTCCCTCTCCTTTCTTTCTCCTTCCTTCCTTCCTTGCTTCCTTCCTTCCCTTTTTGTCTTTCTCTTCTTTCTTTCTCTCTCTTTCCTTCCTTCCTTCCTCCCTTCCTCCCTTCCTTTTCTTCCTTCCTTCTCTCTCTCTTTCTCTGTCTCTCTCTCTCCAATAAATATTTCCTAAGCCCCAACTATATGCTGTGCCCTATCCTAGTCCTTTGGGATATAGAAATGAACAAAATAGACAAAACTCTTTGCTTATTTGGGACTTACATTCTAATGATCTACATCTATCTGTCTGTCTATCTATCTATCTATCTATCTATCTATCTATCTATCTATCTATCTATCCATCATGTGCAGTGACCTGAAATGACACAGATAATACAATCACAAAACAAAGGATCAAAGAATATGCTAATCAGAAGGGAAGGTCAGGACTGGAGGAGAAGTAAAGAAACACCAATGGGCAGGTCTTAGCATCTCACAGTGTTGCTAATGCTACTCTGTGCAACCGAAGCTCCCTGACAGCCAAAGCAGAGAGGGAACGTATGTCAGTTACATGAATCTTATTGTTCAAGAAGGGGCATCACCACAGTCCCTATTTCTTCTCATGATAAAATGTGTTTTCTAACCATATTACCTTATTTAAGCCTTAGGACAATCTCATGACTCAGTTACCATTATTAGCTCCATTTTACAGATGAAAAAACTGGGGCTTAATAAAGCTAAGCACCTTGCCCAAGGTTACATCCGGAAAATGGCAGAGTTGAGAGAAATTCTCAGGCAGTCTAAACTCAGAGCTCTGTTCTAACCATGAACTTCACTGCCTCTGTTATGGGCAAACTGAAAAAGTACATCAATGGTCCCTCGGTGAAAGCTTAATTGCCCTGGAAGATAGTCTCCTGGAAGGGATTTGGGGAAAAAAAAGAAAGACACACCCATATGCAACGGGAGGACTAAATATTAAGTATAAAGCTCATCTGCTTTTAGGCCCCAGACATCCCAATAGCCCAAGAATGGGAAAACCAGAGCTGTGAGGTCCCAGGCTCCAGCTGAACTGGGCTAAAACTGGCCTGAAAATCCTACACCTAATTCTGTCATCATAAAAGCATGATCTTTGTAAGAGAAAGGAGGAGCAACAATCCCCATTAGCTTGACGTCTTCCTGTTCTCAGCCTCACCCCTTTATAGCAGAACCTCACTAGGTCTTTGAGAGCTGCTCTATTGTCTGGGCCAGTAGTTGGAAGATGCTCTCCAAGGTGCTGAAGCAAGTGGGGCTTATTTTTCTTTTCAGATTGGCTTCTTGCCACTGACTCACCACTCCTGGTAAATCACATGAGTGTTCTAGCAGATTGCGAAGACAAACTGCATGATCAAGCTGAGAAAATGTGGCAATTTGTAAGCGTTCAAGTTTATTAACAGGTAATGCTAATACTGAGAGGTAGCATGGCTGAATGACTTTGGCAAATTTCTTAAACTTTCTATGCCTCAGTTTTCTCACCTGTAAAATGGAAATAATAATAATAAAAAATAATACTGACCCCAAAACAAGTTGCTGTGAGGATCAAATGAGTTACTAAGTGCTTAAAACAGCGCCTGGTGAATAAGCCCTATATAAGTGGTTTTTTTTGTTTGTTTTTGTTTTTGTTTTTTTAAAGTTGGTTATATTCCTTAAGGCAAAATTTCTTGGTAATGGGGTCATCTCTAGGATGACGAACCTGGCAGAGTTACTTCATGCCATAGGATAAGTGCAGTCCCATTGGATGCTGTGATGACAGATGACATAGAAAACAGTATGTTACTTTCATCCTTCTATCAAATTCACATAACAAGACCAAAGCCTGCACCACATCCAATTCTCTGTTGCATCTCAGAATTCTAAGTCCTTCATTAACGTTCTAAAATGTTGAATTCTGTGTGCTATGCAGTTTTTAAACAACATCTGTTCATCAACCCCAGAGGTGACAGCGAGTCAGTGTTGGGGGTTGTTCAAAGCATACCCACACCTCTTGGCTCCCTCACAGGAATGTTAGGGGGTCTAATTAATTACTGTTTGCAAAGCAACCGAGAAATTCTCCAGGGAAAGTTGCTGTAGAAATGCAAGTTTCTTCCAGCACTTTGGGAGGCTGAGACGGGCGGATCACGAGATCAGGAGATCGAGACCATCCTGACTAACACAGTGAAACCCCATCTCTACTAAAAATACAAAAAATTAGCCAGGCGTTGTGGCGTGTGCCTGTAGTCCCAGCTACTTGGGAGGCTGAGGCAGGAGAATGGCATGAACCCCAGAGGCGGAGCTTGCAGTGAGCTGAGATCGCGCCACTGCACTCCAGCCTGGGCGACAGAGCAAGACTCTGTCTCAAAAAAAAAAAAAAAAAAAAAAAAAAAAAAGAAATGCTAGTTTCTGTATTATTATTACATGTGCTTGTAATTGTTTTCAAAGTTTACTTATTGGGCAGGGAGAGGGAGAATATATTTTCTTCCTTGACGGCAATGGATAATGCTCTGCAAATTGGCATTTATGGATACTAAATCACTTTGTGAAACATTATATCTCTAGAGCTACAGGAATCTCATAATGGGAAATGCACATAAAGGGTTTCTTCTTTCACTTTTGCACCCTCCCCTTCATTCAACTTCCATTTCCATAAACAAATGTGAAAAGAAACATTATAAGAAGCAGCCATGTGTATCCAAACTTTAAAAGTCAAATGCATATTTTAATATAAAATTACCTGCATAGAGTCAGACTTTTTTGGATAGAACATCCTTCGCGTTAATTTATGCTAAAGATTGAACAACATTAGGTTGAAATCAAAGCTTGAAACAGACACAAAGGAAGTTGGGGATAGACATAATCTGGAACAATTAAAATTATGTGCTGAGCTCACCCACCCCAAAAGCTATAGAAAATATTGGCTTGACTTGATTTTGTAAAGATTTCTGTGAAATATTTAAGAGCAAGCCTATATCTGGGAAATATCTTTCCATGGTTATATATGTATTTCTTTTTTCCCATTTTATGGAGAAATAACTATTTTATGGGTATTGTTGAGCATTAGCCGAGGAAACTTACCCCCTGTCCTTTAATGTTTCTCTTTCCTAACTCAAGTTTGAGATAGTGACATTACGCCTGGCATACTAAAAAAAAAGTTCACTGGAATTAAAATTTAGCAGTACACAGAGGCAGAACACAAGACCTTGTCTGCGAGCTGTTCAAGTGGTGATGAAATCCGAATTAGAAAAGAACGCTATCGTTGCTCCTATCAGCAGCTCCTCAGCCAAGTTTTATCTATAGCTGCACAAAAATTGATTTGCAATCAGTTACATTTGTTTTTTAAAATCCCATCAAATCCAAGAAGCCTATTTTAGTCTGTAAAATTGAGCAGATAATTGCCTCCTTTATATGAATAAAATGTAAAACCCGTATCTGGAATAACAGCCATTTTCTTATTCCTCAACAGACGCTTTGAGCTCCAGTCACACCACACCTCCTAGATTTTCTAGTTGTATGCTCTTTTCTTCAGCTTGGGATTCTCATCAGCTTTCCCCCAACCCTTTTCTTCCCCCTGGGCTCCCCACAACCCCACCCTCCCAGCTGCAGACATTGAGCTTCTCTCCTCTGGGCTCCCATAGTATTTTTTATGTTTTGAGATTTCTCACATAATAATAAATGAAGGAAAGAATAAATGAATGAGCTAGGTCCTGCTCACTTCATGAGGGCCCTTACTTTGTATTTTCTTATAGCCTGTGGGATGGCAGTCTGATCACAGGGGCAGGCATTGACATTCTTTATTCAAATCATACAGTCACTGCCAGCTCACAGCTCTGGAGGGCTTTTGTTTCTAGTGGATTAGCCATATTGCAAATGATCAATAAGGCCAATGATTCTGGCATATCTTGATTTTAGGTTCTTATGGATGCTGTCCCTTACATAGCTGCATCTGTCCTACTCATTTACTTTGCAAAAAAAGCCTTCCGCTTCTCTCTCTCTCTCCTCCCCATCCTGGTCCAGGCCATTGTCATCTCTCATCTGGACACCTGCAGTGACCTCCTCCCAGGTCTGCCCTCAGTCACTCTTGCTCCTCCAATTTTTATTGGCATTGTAGCCAGAAGGGTTATTTAAAATGCAAATCTGGGCCAGGTGCGGTGGCTCACACCTGTAATCCCAGCACTTTGGGAGGCCAGGGCAGGTGGATCACCTGAGGTCAAGAGTTTGAGACCAGCCTGGCCAACATGGTGAAACCCCGTCTCTACTAAAAATACGAAAATTAGATGGGTGTGGTGGCAGGCTCCTATAATCCCAGCTACTCGGGAGGCTGAGGCAGGAGAATCACTTGAACCCAGGAGGTGGAGGTTTCAGTGAGCCAAGATCATGCCATTGCACTCCAGCCTGGGCAACAGAGCAAAAACTCCATATCAAAAAAAAAATGCAAATCTGATTACATCAATTCTGAGAATCTTCTCTAGCTACCCTGCCTTTCTTCCTGGTCCTTCATTATCTCAATTTGCTGTCCCACCTCAGGACTTTGCACACCCTGTTGCCTCTGGCTGGAATGCTCTTTCCTTGCTCCCCTTTTACATAGTTACCAGGTCATCCCTCTCTCTCCAGGCTAGTTAAGCCTTGAGTCACACACTCTCCTAGCTCCCTGTGTTTTTCCTTCACAGTGCGTAGCACAGTTTGTAGTTGTGTGTGTGTGTGTATGTGCACACATGTGCATACGTGTGTATATGTCTAAGCTCCATGAAAGCAGGAAATGGATTGCTTTCTCTCTACTCTTTCCTCAGCGCTTAGGCTCCTCAGACATGAAGTAAGGATTTAAAAATATTGTTGAATGAATAAATGATTCTTGGATAAATGTCAGATCTTTGTCTAATAAAGCAAAAGCCAGAGGAGAAATGTTTATGCTCAAACATGTATTTTTTGGTTCTTGGGAAGGTGCACACCAGCCAGTTAACAACATTGCCCAGCTCGACTACCAGCAAGTCCTTCTCATCAACCTGAGAAATGATGCAATCTTTTACCCAGTATAAATTCAGCTCTTTATAAAATGATTCCATCAAGTCATGGCAAGTGTCCAAGAAGCCCGTAATGAAATGCAAATAAAAAATTTAAAAAGAGCATATGCTCTGCAAATTAAGCAACAGAAAGAGTAATATCGTATACTGCCAATTCTTTATCAGTGAAATCACCCAGAATTCAACGTGGTAGGTCCTAGACACCCATTGCTCTGGGTAACACGAAATAAACGACCCTCTCTTGCTAGGTTCCTGCCGGCATTTCTAGCTTGTCTTGCCCTCTGGCCGTCAGTTCTCCTATTCCAGCACAACCTCACTCAGAATGCCCAGACAAGTCTACACTGGGAACATGTGAGGTTCTCTCTGCCTTGAACTATCTACCTTCTGACCTCCTACTTCACCCTTCTCTCTCCAGGGCCCCTGAGTGAACATCCATTCATCACTTCCAGCTCAAGTAGCTTTACTCAACAAATATTTCTTTATCTGATTGAAGTTTTGATTTTCCCTTTGCCATCTCAGTAAACGGCCCTGCCATAACCCTCTTTGCTCAAAATGGGAACCTGGGAATCTTCTTTGCTTTTTTTCTTCTCTCTCCAATACCGATCATATCCCATCCATCAGCGAGTCTTGTCTTAACACTGTCCCTTTTCTCCAACTCCATCATCCTCATCTTAACCCCTATCTCTAACCCGCCATGCAAAGTCCTCTCACTTTCAACCCTCCCATCCATCCTTCCCTCAATGGTCAGTGCAGTCTTCTGAAAGTAAATTAGATTGTACCTAAAACTCTTCTATGATTTCCCATGTCTCCAAGAAAAATATTTGAACTCCCTTCCATGACTTGCAAAGCCTCAGCAAATTGGCTTTTGCCTTTCTCATCTAGATTCTGCCCTCACTTTGGGTCTTCCCAACTAGACATCATCACTTCAGATGTCTTAATGGTGACATGTCCTCCGCGGAGCTCCCAATCTCCCCCGGCCTCAATCTTCTGCCGCGGCAGCTCCATCCTTCCAGAGGCACAGACCAGAAAGCTCAGAGTCACCCTCGACTCTTCTTGCTAATTCACATCCTGTTTCCAGCAAATCCTGACAGCTCTACTTCCTTTTTTCTTTTTTTGAGACGGAGTCTCACTCTGTCACCCGGGCTGGAGTACGGCGGTGTGATCTCGGCTCACTGCAACCTCCACCTCCCAGATTCCAGTTATTCTTCTGCTTCAGTCTCCCGAGTAGCTGGGATTACAGGCACCCGCCACTATGCCCAGCTAATTTTTTTGTATTTTTAGTAGATATAGGGTTTCACCATGTTAGCCAGGCTAGTCTCAAACTCCTGACCTTGTGATTTGCCCGCCTCAGCCAGTGCTGGGATTAGAGGCATGAGCCACCACGCCCGGCCAACAGCTCTACTTTCAAACTGTGATATGGTTTGGCTGTGTCCCCAACTGAATCTCATCTTGAATTGTAGCTCCCATCATTCCCACGTGTCTTGGGAAGGACCCAGTGGGAGGTAACTGAATCACAGGGTGGGTTTTTCCCATGCTGTTCTTGTGACAGTGAATAAGTTTCACGAGATATGGTGGTTTTAGAAAAGGGGAGTTCCCCTGCACACGCTGTCTTGCCTGCTGCCATGTAAGACATCCCTTTGCTCTTCCTTTGTCTTCCACCATGATTGTAAGGTCTCCCCAGCCATGTGGAACTGTGAGTCCATTAAACCTCTTTCCTTGATAAATTACTCAGTCTTGGCTATGTCTTTATCAGCAGTGTGAGAACAGACTAATACAGACTGTGTCTCAAGAACCACTGTCCACTTCTCACTTCTCCTGTGGCTATCCCAGTCCACACCACCACCAACTCCTGCCTGGACAATGGCACTGGCCTCCTCCTTTGCCTTTCTGCTTCTGCACTTGCCCTCTCTCCCGCTGCCACCAACCTCTCTTCACTCAATTCTCAACTCAGCCTCTGGAAGAGTGATGCTAAAATACAGGTCAAGTTAGGTCACTTCTCTGCTCAAAACCCTACAGGGACTCCCACCTTACTCAGAGTCAAGGCTAACGTCCTCACAGTGGCCTATAAGGCCCCATGTGACATGCCTCCCTTCACCCTGATACCTCATTAGTCTCATTATCTACTCCTTTCTGCTTGGCTGGACTCGCTCCAAACACACTGGCCTCCTTGCCATTCTATTTTACTTTTTTTCTTGAGACGGGGTCTTGCTCTGTTGCTCAGGCTGGAGTGCAGTGCTTCGATCCCAGCTCACTGTAGCCTCGACCTCCCAAGGCTCAAGAAATCCTCCTGCCTCAACCTCCTAAGTATAGCTGGGACTATAAGCATGTGCCACCACACCCAGCTAATATTTTTTTTAAAAAAATAGACATGGGGGTCTCACTGTGTTGCCCAGTCTGGTCTCAAACTCCTGGGCACAAGCAATCCTCCCACCCTGGCCTCCCAAAGTGCTAGGATTGCAGGTGTGACCCACTGCACCTAGCCCATTCTATTTATTTTTATTTTTTGTAGAGATGGGGGTGTCACTTTTTTGGCCACGCTGATCTTGAACTCCTGGCTTCAAGTGATCCTTCTGCCTGGGCCTCCCAGAATGCTGGGATTTTAGGCATGAGCCACCGCGCCTGGCCCTCTTTGCCATTGTAAAACACCACAGGCACACTCCTGCCTCGGGGCCTTTGCGTTAGCTGTTTCCTCTACCTGAGTCACCTTTCTCTAGATATCTGCTATTTATTGTTCTTTAGATATTATTTGTCATTCATCTCCTTCAGGTATTTATTCAAATATTACTTTCTTACTAAAGTCTTCCCTGTTCACTCTATATAAAATTGCAAACTTCTCTTCCTAGAAACATTCTAGTCCACTTTCCTGATGTCTTTTTCTCCTTAGCTCTTGTCTCTACGTAGCATGTGAGGCTGAATTCTAGGCATGCAAACACTGTGTGGTCCCATAAACCCTGTGCCTAAAAGAACCTTGTAGTTGGTTTAACGCTTTGTGTTGCTATCTTGAAATTCTTAATAATTTCTTCTTCCTCCTTTTTTTTTTTTTTTTTTTTTTTTGACAGAGTCTTGCTCTGTTGCCCAGGCTGGAGTGTAGTGATGCAATCTCGGCTCACTGCAACCTCCGCCTCCCAGGTTCAAGTGATTCTCCTGCCTCAGCCTCCCAAGTAGCTGGGATTACAGATGGCCACCACCATGCCCAGCTAATTTTTGTATTTTAAGTAGAGATGGGGTTTTACCATGTTGGCCTGGCTGGTCTCGAACTCCTGACCTCCAGTGATCTGCCTGCCTTGGCCTCCCAAAGTGCTGGGATTACAGGCGTGAGCCACTGAACCTGGCCAATAATTTCTTATTCTAACAAGGTGCTCCATGAGTTCATTTTGAACTGGGCCCTGCAAATTATGTTAGTTGATCCTAGAAACATGCTATATATTTTACTTTTTTGTTATTGTGTCTCTCCCCACTAGAAAGTGAGCCCCAAGAGGGCAGGAATATTTGTCTTTTTTTGTATATTACTGTAACCCCCTGTGCCTAGAATAGAGGTTGGCACATGCTAGATGCCCAGTCAATATTTGTTGAACAAATGAGTCCTCCAAGTTAACTACCCAGAAATCTGGGAGTCATCCGTGACACTTACCAACCTCTCCTGGACCTCTGCATTCAAGTTTCATCTATTTTGTTTCTTTTGTTTTTGAGACAGAGTCTCGCTCTGTTGCCCAGGTTGGAGTGCAGTGGCGTGATCTCGGCTCACTGCAACCTCCGTCTACCAGGTTCGAGGGATTCTCCTGCCTCAGCCTCCCAAGTAGCTGGGATTACAATCATGTGCCACCATGCCCGGCTAATATTTTTGTATTTTTAGTAGAGATAGGGTTTCACCGTGTTGGCCAGGCTGCTCTGAAACTCCTGACCTCAAGTGATCTGCCTGCCTCGGCCTCCTAAAGTGCTGAGATTACAGGTGTGAGCCACTGTGCCCATCCTGTTTCTTAAATAGATGTTGAACCTGTCCACTGCTCTCCTTGTTCTTACCACCACTCTCCGCCAGGCTGTGTAGGCACCTCCTTGTAACTTGCTTCCCAGCTGGTCTCCAGGCATGCCCATGTGTTCCCCCGCCATTCCCCACTGCTTTCTTCCTAGGAGCCTAGGATGATGGTCAAGGTCTTTAGCTCGGTCTCCAGGCCCTGCCTACCTCTGCAGCCCTCCCTCTCAGCAGTACAGTCTCTCGGGCCTTCTTCTCACCCTGCAAACATGTTTTCTGTTTTTCACATGAAAACCCTTCTTCCTTTATTTCCAGAACATCCTTCACCCCTTTTAGGTCTTGCTCACCCTCAGGCCTCAGGCTCTTTCTGAATCCCTGAACGAAATCTCCCATGATCCACTGTAAGAGCAAAACCCCCATATACCTGTTTTCTGTGGGTGTTATCATAGTAGGGACTATATGGTTATCAATGTGCTGTTTTGCTGGATGACTCTTTTGCCCATGACACTGTAAGGGCAGAAAGGACCACACCTATGAGATTTTTGCATCCCCATTTCCCAGCAAGCCACCACCAAGCACATAACAGGTGCTCAGTAATGTTGCTTGGTTGAGAGAACCTGTGGCAAGATACCCTGTGAGCAATTAATTTAGGCTGGGTCTCCACTGCTCTAGTTACTTTTCACACCCCATCCCAAGGAGGCAGAAGAGCTCTCAGGGCCATGTTAATGGCATTAGGACTGTAGGGCTAAGATGCAAAGTTGCCGTCAGAAGACAGTCCCCATGCTGGAGTCCCCCCGGGCTGTAGGCAAAGACAGAGATGTGTTGTTTGGCAAGCAGAATTGGCCTACATATTGTTGTTGTTATTTTAAAATTCGAGCCAGGTGCAGTGGCTCATGCCTGTAATCCCAACATTTTGGGAGGCCGAGGCGGGTGGATCACCTGATGTTAGGAGTTTGAGACCAGCCTGACCAACATGGAGAAACCTCGTCTCTACTAAAAATACAAAAATATTAGCCGGGCATGGTGGCACATGCCTGTAATCCCAGCTACTTGGGAGGCTGAGGCAGGAGAATCGCTTGAACCCGGGAGGTGGAGGTTGCAGTGAACCGAGATCACATCATTGCATTCCAGCCTGGGCAACAAGAGTGAAGCTCAGTCTCAAAAAAACAAAAGAAAACAAAAAACGGATGAGTTGCTAACATTGAAAAATTGGGAGATGTCACATAAAACTTTGAATATTTGGCTTCCTTTGAAAAACTGGACGATTTAGCGACCTTAGTTCTGCAGTGCCTCAGTTGGCTGGAGCTGACCGGGGGCTGCCCGGGCTGGGGCCTGTGTGTGCCTCAGTTGCCACATGGAATGCTTCCTCCGTCAGGCACCTGCCTGGCTGCTCTGGACACCAGAGGCTGTGGTGTCCAGCCTCGGCTTATAGAAACAACAGAGCCGGATGATCTGAAGTAAGAAGAGTTCCAAGGGTTGGGACGGGTCAAGGGAGCCAATCTGCAGAGGCCACAGGTGTCTGCAGACATGGAAGGCTCTGGAATCTCTGGGAACCCTGGCACTGGGTTCCCAGCCTGGGCCAGTCCCCTGTGTCCAAGCCTGTGGGACCTTCAGGACCAGGAGGGCATGGGCAAGAGATGACCTGAAGAACTACAGACCCTTTCTTGGAGGTTCTTGATGGTGTAAGACCTCCAGGATTCCCACATTATAAGAGAGAGAGGAAGAATCCTCTTGAAAACATGACAGACGTTAGATTTTTTTTTTTTTTTTTGCTACTCCGGTAAGTACAGTGTGTTTGTGTGTGTGTGTGTGTGTCTCTGTGTGTGTGTGTGTGTGTGTGTGTGTGTGTTTATGTATGTGCGCATTTGGGGGGTACTTTCAGAGTTAGAGTTAATTGATTTCAGAACAAAAAAAGGAACACAGCTTTCCTACATGCAACCACTGTGGACAAAATCCACACCTGCCTCAAATAAATTATATTCCCCATATTCTCAAGAGAGCCAATCTTTCTCTTTGAGGAATGTTTTTTTTAATCCCTCTTCAATCTGTTTGTACTAAGAATGCGGGTATACTTTATTCCATGTTTCTCTTTCTTCTTGTAGTTGTGTGTGCGTGTGTTTCAAGACAAGGTCTCACTCTCACCCCGGCTGGAGTGCGGTGGCTTGATCACAGCTCACTGAAGCCTCAACTTCATAGGATCACTTGCGTAGGCCACCACGCCTGGCTAATTTATTAATTTTTTTTTTTGGTAGAGACAGAGTTTCCCTATGTTGCACAGTCTGGTCTTGAACTCCTGGGCCCAAGTGATCCTCCTGCCTTGGCCTCCAAAAGTGCTGAAATTACAGGTGTGACCCACTGTGCACAGCCTCTTTAGTAGTTTTAAAGCCCATACTTATAAGAAGTTCATTATGACACTGCTCTTTGGCACATATATTTTGAGAGACTGTGGGAAAAGCTGTGTCTCTTAAGAGTCAAAAGTCAGAAGCCGGATTTGGCAGGCTATTGAGAAGAGGTGTTTTAACTTCAGACGCATAAAAAAAAGTTCCAATTTAATTCAGACTTGCTATGGAGTCAGAGATATCTTCATCTACAAGAGTTTCATGAGGATCTTCTAGAACTTCAGATTATTACATTTCTTTTCTAGTTATCGAAAACAAGTTCTCAGCTCCTTTAGGCAAATGTTTTGGGACGTATTCTTGCTGTTCCTATCCTAATTTAGTTTTTTGCCAAACTGGTGTCCGAATCTTTGTTTTGCAGAGTCAGGAAAAGTGTGGATAGGAGCAGAGAGGCATTAAAAAAAAGGGAAAAGATGATGGAGGAAACCCAAGTCCATCTTGACTAAGCGGAGCTGTGATTTGGGAGGGGGGAAAACAGAATGCTGGGGCCGGACTGGGGAATTTTGGCGTTTGCTGGAGGAGGCTCTAGAAGTGAGAAATGTCTCTGTGGGCTAGAAATTGTGTCCTTTTCAATGCTCTTATAAGTAGAGTTTGGATTGGAATTCCTTTATAATTATTCTTTGACTTCTTCATATGTGACTCTTTGCAGAACTGAGCCACTTGGAGGTCTGTAATTTGTTAGGGTTAGACAAATGTAGCCTACTGGGCTTATGGCAAAATAGTTTCTATAAGGAGAATATCAACTTTTCTACCTGAGGTCTTGGTTAAACAATTAAAGCCTCGATCAAGCGTCACCTCCTTGTGTGAAGCCTTTACTCCTCTAGCAATTAGCTAGCTTGTTGATGTGCCCACCCTAGTTTCTTCATAGTTCTATTTTAGTACTTACCACTCTGTATGCCAATTTGTTAGTTTACATGTTTGTGTCCCTTCCATGGCCTCAAGGTTATGCAGAATAGGGACCAACTGTGTTTTATCGCCCTTTATAGATTCAGCCCATAGCTAAGACTGTGGTGGCTGGCACACATTAGGTATTTAGTAAATGTTTGCTGAATGAATAAATGAGGCTATCAATGGGTGCAGTTCACTTAAGACTTTCTTTCTTTTCTTTCTTTCTCTTCCTTTCTTCCTTCCTTCCTTTCTTTCTTTCTCTTTCTCTTTCTTTCTTTTCTTTCTTTCTCTTCCTTTCTTCCTTTCTTTCTTTCTTTCTCTTTCTTTCCTTCCTTCCTTCCTTCCTTCTTTCTTCTTTCTTTCTTTTTTTTTTTTTGAGACAGAGTTTCGCTCTTGTTGCCCAGGCTGGAGTGCAGTGGTGTGATCTCGGCTCACCGCAATCTCCACCACCCGGGTTCAAGCAATTCTCCTGCCTCAGCCTCCTGAGTAGCTGGGATTACAGGTGTGTGCCACCACGCCCAGTTAATTTTTGTATTTTTAGTAGAGACAGGGTTTCACCATGTTGACCAGGCTGGTCTTGAACTCCTGACCTCAGGTGATCTGCCCTTCTTGGCCTCCCAGAGTGCTGGAATTACAGGCATGAGTCACCGCACCTGGCCCACTTAAGATTTTCAAATATCTTTAGGTTCATAACCAAGGGCTACTGAAGACATTCAGATAGTATAGGATGGAACAATCTAATAAATAGACTCACCTTATGATTTCTAGAAACTGATTTAAGTTAGGAAATGAATGTTTCCAGGAAGTGGTATTGGGCCCTTGCAGTTATGGTTCTAATGAATGATTTGGGGAAGGGAAAGACTGTAAATTGGTAAGTTAGTAGAGGATTCTAAGCTGGCCTACAAACGCAGGCTCATTTTTGACTCCTGTCTTTTTCTAATGAACCATATCCAATCAATAAGCAAATCTTGTTGGCTTCACCTTCAACACACAGCCCGAATCCAACCACTTCTCATCACCGCCTTCACTACCCCTAATTCAAGCCACATCTTACACCTGGATGGCTGTAATGGGCTCCTAACTGGTCTCCCTGCTTTCACCCCAGCCCCTACATTGTGTTCTCTACCCACCAGCCAGAAAATGACTTTCCTCCGCTCAAAGTCCTCCAACAGCTCCCACGACGCTCAGAGCAAAAGCTGCTCTGGCCCCTGCTGCGTCCCTGACCTCACCTGCTCCAGGGGCCTTGGCCTCCTTGCACCTCATCAAATGCACCCAGCACGTTCCTGTTACTTTCGCCTTGAGACTTTGCCCCAGACATGAGCATGGCTCTTTCCTTCACTTCCTTTGGGTTTTTACCAGTGAGGCGTCCTAGACTTCCCCATTTAAAATGGCGGCGTTCCTGGCCAACGCTCTCTGGCCCCCTTCCTGTTTAATTCTTCTCTGCAGCACTCAGCTCCAGCTGACCTATATTTTGCTTTATTTATCGATTGGTTGTCTGCCTATCTCCAGTAGAATGAGGGCCCTTCATGAGGGTCAGGACTTTTGTTTGCTCTGTCCATGATTGGATCCCAGTGCCCGGAAGAGCATCTGGCACACAGAAGTGCTCGACAGTGATTTGTGGAATAAATGCAGACAGCTCTCTCAGGTAGTGGTTGGGTTGCTTCCATGTGGCACCTGCCTCAGTCTCTGATGTTTGCTAGGATTGTGCTGGGATAATTGTGTATATGGATGAGATGTCTGCATCTTAATGGTTGATAATTAACATTGACTTTTTGCCTTCTTCCGGAGAGATCCAGTGGCTCTGGGCATGGAAGGATAACTGAACAAAGAGAACTCAGGCATCCAAGGAGTGAGACAAGTCTTCAGTTCCACAATGGATAGAAACCAGAGGAGATTATAATTTGTGGTCAGACTTAAGGGTATATGGAATCCGGCCTCAAAGGAAAACAGTCCCAGCCCTGGAAAGCTCATGCTACTCCCATGTCAGATAGAGGGGCCTGGCCTGGACTCGGGAGGGCTCTGCCTGGGAGAAGAAGAGGTGTGCACGTTGCTCCAGGAGCCCGGCTGGAGGACACGGGGGCCGGAATTGCTTTTATTGGATAAATCTTCTCTGGATTGAGGAGTTCATCTTAAGAAATTTTTGATTCCTATGCTGGATAGGGCTGGACACTGGATCTACACTCTGTGCCTATAATTTTTAAAAACCTACAGAGTTTTCATTTTTATAAATCCTAGAACTTTTTTTTTTTCTGGATACAATAAGATTGGCCCGCAAATGGACAGTGGCGTAATGAGCAAAAGTGTCGTGAGGTCTGTGTGTTTCCTTTGCTATGGCTCAGGGAGTGGAGGCTTGTAGTTCCAGAATATTGAGTAGGCACAGAGAGCTCTGGAGCCCCCGGGAGCCAGGCAGGTAGTAAAATCCTAGTGTGGTTATGGTGCTGGGGCAAAGAAAATCTCCGTTCACTCCCAAGCTCTCCAGAGTGTCTGAGGCTGTAGAGAGGCTCACTGAGACTGTGAAGTGGGCACAGGCTTTGTGTCTTGGGGGATGAGCCTAGAGACTTTTCACTTCTGGGGGTTTGTCCAGTATGTTCCTCTAAGGTTGTCATAATAAGTGCATCATTACCAAGTATTACAGCAGGTACTGGTTTGCATCAGGGCTGCTGACGTTGTCTGTGGGCATTGTTAAGAAACCAATCTGGGAAACAAATCTGAACAAAGACCTCACAAAGCCACAGGAGTGAAAAAATAATGGCCCATGAACTTGAGTGGGGGCAGGTATAGAGGGAAAATACCCTAGTCTTTATTTGAAGGAAGATTGCCCGGAACTGTGAACTTTAGATCAAGACAAGAATCCAAGATCAAGGCAGATTCTACCTTATGATTAAGGGAAAGTCCTCCTCTCGCCAATAAGGGCAGGTAGTGACAGGCATCAGGGAGGCCATGGGGCCTGGGAGAGGGAAGAGGAGCAGAGAGAAGCACGCACTGCATGCTGGGCTTTTCACACATGAGAAAGCCTTAAAAATAACCCTCCAGTGGTTATTACTTCTCCCATTTTCTAGATAAGGATAATACAGCTCAGAAGCTAGATAATTTACTATCTCAGGGCTTCTAAGTGTTGGGGTGGGATTTAAGCCTGTCTTCCTCATCCATCTCTTTTTAAATTCCTTCCGTCCTTTATTCAACACATCTGTATCCAGCCCTTGCCCAGGTGCTGGGTACACTGCAGGGACCAAAGCAGGAATGTTCCTGCCCTCAGGGAGCTTTCAATCTGTGGGCATGATGACAGTGAACAAAGTAACAAACCATAATGTAATCACAGAGGGCAATAGTGCTCCAGGGGGAATAGGCGGGGTGTGGGGACAGGGCAAGAGTGTGCGGGGAAGGGACTCCTTAGGTTGGGTGGTCAGGACTGGCTCCCTGCAGAGACTGAAGATAAGATGGAGCCTGGTATTGGGGTGGGGACAGCAATGACGCTGGGAGGGAAGGAAGGGGTGTGCAGGTTATAGGAGCCGAGGGAGCGCCAGACGGTGGCTCTCCGAAGTGTATGTATGCCCTTTCACTCCAGCATGTGGCTTGGCAAGAGAAGCATTGGAGTCAGAGGAGGAAATACCACATTACACAGTGGGTAGGAAACTGACTGCCCTTAGAAGTCTAAGACGGTGTGGGCTGAAAATACCAACTGCTTCCCGCTAGGTGTAGGCACAGGCCTGCTGAGAGATTTCTATGGCATTATTAAGGGAAAGCGGGAGGGTGGGGGCTCTGTCCTCTTGTGGGTGAGGGCCTGGGCAGCAACTTGTCTTCCCACAGCACAAGCTCCGACCCTACCAAGTCAGAAAAGAGGCTGGGACAGGGCCACGTGGAGTCAGGGAGTGGGGAGAGGGCTGTCCCCCATGGCGACCCTGATGCTACTTCTCAGGGACGGGAAAGGAGAGGAAGGAGTGTGTTAACCAGGTCAAAGGCTGCTCCACAGTGAACACTGTGCTGTTTCACGTTACTTATTTCATGTGAGGAAACTGAGGCTCAGAGAGGCAAATTACCTTGCCCAAGTTCATGAATCCAGGAAGGGTATGCCGTGGAGTCTTCCTGGCTTCAAAACCCAGGTTCTCTCCTGTGACCCGGGCTGAGGGGCAGCAGATTACCTGGCCCCAGGAAGGAGTGGGGCCAAAGAAGCAGGACCTGGGGTGATTCTGGGGCCGGGGGAGGGAGGGAATGGCAGGGGTGGGATGGTGCGGGGACACAGGCACACAGGTGAAATGCTGATGTACTGAGATAGGCTTTGCTTGGGAGATCAGAAAGACCTGTGTTCAAATGCCAGCCTGTGCCAACTGCTGGAATTTAGCAGCCAGATGGAACACCTTGAATATCTGCGCGGCCCCTCCCCCAGCCTGCCACCCCCGAGAGGAGGCCCTCACAGCTCCTCTTGCCTCTGGCTGCCTGAGTAAGCAGTCCCCTAGAAGAGCCTGACTCATTCGCCTTGGCTCCCTGCCACCAGAGCTGCAGGGAGGACAGTAGCCCAGTGGCTGGTGGCTTCCAGCTTGCACTGACTGCCCAGCCTCCTCTGGGGAGCAGATGGGGACAATCCCCCCACGACTCTGCTCCTGGTACCCGCACAAGCCGGGGCCTCCCAGGTCAGCTCTCATTCCCTGGCACAGACCTGTCCCACCTTCTTGTATGTGGTTCTGTGTTTATGTGTCATTGTCCCTCACTAGGCCGTGAGCTCTTGCAGGGCAGGGATGCCTGAGTCATCTCCCGTCCCCAGTGCTCATGACAGGACTTGGCACCATGTAGGGGCTGCTCAGCAAATATTTGCCAAATTCCCTTCCAAATCAAACAGGAAATCCCCCTACCCTTGCCGGGGGGCAGTTGCTGGTGGAGCCGGGCCCGTGACCATGGCTTCTGCGGGCTGCTCACCCGGCTTCAGCCCTCCAGTGCCAGGCGCGCACAGGCATATGTCACATTTCAGCATTGTTTTCCTTCCGATGCTGCTTTCGATTGCTGGTTTTATTCCAGCCCATTCTCACTCTCTGTCTTGGAAAATCACAAGGCAACTCCACGCTGCTCCTGGAATTCTTGCCAATGTGATTCAAGAGGAATTGAGCACACTGCGCTGAGCTCCCCTCAACACAAAGACGCTGCTACTTTCAGTGTGGTGGCCTTCCTTCCACCAGCCTGGCCCCCCACCTTGCCCAGGTGAGGCGGGCGGGGCGGGGCAGCGTGTGCGCTTGGCTGTTTCACCCAGTTGTCACCCACAAAGTGCCCCAGTTGAAAGCACCCAGGGCTGGGAGGTGTGGGTTGTTAGATAAACGTGGAAGCAAGGTTGCCCCATAACAGCCCAGAGCCTTCCCTCATCCCAGTCCTCACTCACAACCTACTCTGCTAAAGTTTTTTAAATCATGGCTTCTTTACTAGCTATGTGACTTGGGATAAATGACTTACTCTCCTCTGTGCCTCAGTTTCCTCATGTGAAAAATGGAGACGATTGTTACAGGATTAAATGAGATACAGTGGCAGTACCCAGCACAGGGCTTGGTGTACTGTGGGCATTCAGTGACTTCTGGCTGTGATGCCAATGACCTGTGTCAGTGCCGGCACATGCTTTCTGAGTGCAGGCAGGTTCCTTGGTGCTAAGCCCTATTACCGTGAAATCAATCAACTCCGTGCTCGGACCCTCCCAGGCACACCGTTTGAGAGCAGGCTTGGATTCAGTCTCCTATCAGTCTCTAGAGGAGTCCGGAAGTGGAATGGGGAGCTGAGGCTGCCATGTACGTCGGAGGCAGTACCCGATGGGGTGTGACTCTCTGTAGCTCCTCCAAGCACCTGGGGAGCAACATTTACATGCAGCCTCCTGAGATCGCATGTTAGATGGAATCATATTTATTTCTTCCTTAGTCGGAGATTACACGGTGAAGTGGGAGAAGTGTGGACTTGCCCTCCCATCATGGCCATTTCTGGGCTGAGTGACATGGGACAAATCATCCAACTTCTCTCATGCTTATGGGAATGGGATGTCAGGAGGTTCAGTGTGGACTTGAACCGTGTGGGGCCTAGGGTGTGCCATTGAAAACAGAACCCTGCTCTGTTCCTAAGAGCATCGAGCATATTAAGCGATCCTGTCATCCCAAATCTGTTTTGTCGGAGGCCTCCTTGGTGAAGGGCCACAGCATCTGAGGTGGAAGGCAGAGTAGTTTTTGTAATTGGCTCCATTGCATGTCAACAAATGAAAGGGTAACCGAGACTGACAGTCCCCTAGCTGTGGGGGGACCTTGTCCAGAACCTGTCACAGGACGAAAGCTCTAGGATTGGAGGCAAGGTGGCCTCATGGGCCTGGGAAGCAGGCTGCCTGGATTTGAACAATGTCTCCATCCTCACTCCCATGGAACCTTGGCCAAGCCTCTTAACACTTTTCTGAGCCTCAGTTTCTTCACCTGGAAAATGGGGCTAGCAATATTCTCTTGAAGGCAGCTTTGTGGCTGGTGTGTTGATAACAGGTTCTGCTTCCTATGGACTCATTGCTATTCTTTTTTTTTTTTTTTTTTTTTTTTTTTTTTTCAGACGGAGTCTCCCTCTGTCACCCGGGCTGGAGTGCAGTGGCATGATCTCAGCTCACTGCAAGCTCCACCTCCCAGGTCAAGCAATTCTCCTGCCTCAGCCTCCCTAGTAGCTGGGATTATAGGCACACACCACCAAACCTGGCCAATTTTTTTTGTATTTTTAGTAGAGATGGGGTTTTGCCATGTTGGCCAGGCTGGTCTCGAACTCCTGACCTCAGATGATCCTCCTGCCTCGTCCTCCCAAAGTGCTGGGATTACAGGTGTGAGCCACTGTACCTGGCTGACTCATTGCTATTCTAAGCCATCTTGTGAAGCGGTTACAGCGATCACATCCTCACTTGACAGATGGGAAAACTGAGGTGCAGAGCGATCAGTGATCTGCCAGTTCATTCACTCCTTCATCCCATTTTCTGACCTGACCCCTGCTTCCTTCTCTTCTCTTATCTGCCACCCACCCACACATTGAAATCATGACATGAATTACACACCTGTCCCCAAACTCGCCAGGCTAACTCAGGCCTCTGCCTTTGCATTCCCTCTGCCTGTAAGGTCTGTCTCCTTCTCTGTGCCTGACTCAGCTGTGTGTGTTCTTTAAGGCTCAACTCAGGTGCCTCCTCCTCCAGGAAGACTTCCCTCCTAAGCACTATCGGTAGGTTCTCCTTTAGCCTGGGCTTACCTATACCTGAGTGTGTTCACCTACATAATAATCGCGGAGTAAACTGACTCCACATTTTCTGTCTCCTGGGCACCGTGCATGCCCCTTACAAACACTCTTTCGTTCAGTTTGCCCTACAACTCATCAACGTAGATGTTATTTTTTTCTGTGTCACGGTTGAGGAGCCGGGATTTGAACTCAGATGAGTCCTTTTTAGCTCTCCATGGGACACCTGGTTATGCACTTCTTTTTACTCATCTCTTTTACTGGACCTTGGCGTAGTTATCTCTGTATCACTGGGGCCCTGCACCACACAGGGAATCAAATAATAGTTGTTGAATGAAACTTGAACACTCACGATATGTTTCTAGAATAATAAGAGTTAAAAAAAAAAGAGAGAGAGAGAGACAGAACTCAGTGAAGTATCTCAGGATCCCATCCTCCTCCATGGTTTAAGATAAGTTCTCATTAGGAGCCCAAGCCCTTTGAGAGGAGACCCTTGCCCAAGTCGGTCTACGGGTGGGTGCCTGGTCCGGTGCCTGGCATGGAGGACGTGCTCAGAAAACACGGATTTGACCAGTAGCTGTTTTTCCCCTTTGAGCGTGATCACTTAGGGAGTTCTGCTTTTTGTGAACCAAGACTACTTGGGGATCTCCGAGTCAAAAGGTCTTTGGTTTTCGCCAAGGGGTACTTCGAGGAAAGGGCCACCCCTACCCTCTATACTCAGGGAAATTGGATTTCTGATGACTGCTGCACACACAAGCAAGCAATAAAATGACAAAGCAATATTAAAGTTCAAGCGCTCAGCATACCCATCTTCTCCAGGCATCCTGAGTTTTTTTCTTTTTAGAGCAAAACCCTGCAATATTAATAAATGACAGAGAGAGAAGGATAGAAAAACGACTCTTTCCCTTTGACATGGTGAAGATCACAGGAACTAGAGGGACCTTTAATCTTTATTAATGCGTCGCGAGGGGGCCTCTCCCACAAGCTGTGGGAAGCAGACATCCAAAGAGTTTGCAGCGCTCGCAGAGTCCTCAGCATCCCTGGGCGCCTCAGATGACTGCCTGGTACTGTTCAGAGTCTAGCAGGACCGCGTCATGGGGACCCGCTGTGTCCTGGGCAAGAACAAGGCAGCCCTAACCCAGCTCCCATCTGTGGGGGGCTGGAAGACAGGGAAATTCAGGACACAGGCCTCGATCACATGGGCCTGTTTCTAACCAAGGGCACCGATGCCCTGAAGAGGCTCGGAAGGAACCAGGCTGTCGGTTGCAGGGACGAGCACAAATCATGGCTAGGAGGGAACATACCTGAGTTCATTAAGGAGCACAACCAATAATGAGCACCTTTGTTTTTATACCTTGCTGCTCCCCTCTGGACCACATGGCTAAATGCATCTTCCCACCCTTCCTCCCCTATGGCTGGACATTACATGAGGGTGGCTGGCAAAACCTATATTATGCAAGCCTAATTCCACTGACTTAGTGAGTCAGGAATTGCAAGGTACATATAGGGGAGAGAACATAACTGAAACGTTTATAGTAAGGATTTAAGAGCCAAGAAGGTCAGACACACACACACACCCATACACACACGCACAGAATGAGAAATGGAGAGGCATATTTTGACATTCTTCCATTCATCTCTCTGCCTATTCATTCATTCAAAAATGCTTATTGATCGCCTACTCGATGAGACGCACTGTTCTAGCCACTGGGGCTCCAGCAGTGAACAGGATGAGCAAGGTCCTTGTTTCTCTAAAGCTTACGCTCATTCCACTCGAGAGCGTCCCTGGGTGCCAGGCCCAGCACAGGGTTAATCACACTAAGGATGCATTATAATGCAAAGAGGATGGACACCACCTACACCCCTTTCCGGGCTAGGGATCTAAATGCCAGGGAGATCAACCTGTCCAAGACCTCACACTGGGTTGTGGACCTGGAATCTGAAGCTAGATTTGAGGCCGACTGTCTTTCTACTCACTGCTCAAAGCCGACTAACAAACCCGAGCTGAGAGCGGTGGTGCAGTTGGGGAGGAAGCATCTAGCTGAAGTGTGCTCAAATAAGGCATCGTCTAATTCGATTATGCTTGCTAGACTGCAATGTAATAAAACAGAGTTTTCATATAAGCATCATCTCCTAATGTTTACAGAACAAGGAAGCAAAATTAAGAGAGGAATTTCCAGGGAGAAAAGCATGTGTTTTAGGCTGATGTAAAGAGAATAGACCCAGAAAACATTGATTTTTGAGTTTACAACTCAGCTCTGACGAGGGGGTGCCTGGTGGATTGGGAGGGTAGGACCCCATGAAGGGCCAGGCTGGTGCCCAGAGGAAGCTGGCGAGAGTGGGAGGGCCTGCTAGAAGGACCTCAGGATGGAGGAGAGAGGCTGACAGGGAGAGGCTTGTTAACAGGAAAGAGGGCTGGTGAAGGCAGGCCACAGAAGACTTGGGCAGCCTGTAGGATTTATTTCCCACACCTCCTTGCTCCTCTCCAAGCCTCCAGCTTCTCTTCCCAGTGTCTGCCTTTCACATGCAGCCAGAATGACTTTTCTAGCAAAGTAGAGCCTGATGACGAGTGTGTGGGCCCTGGAGTCAAGCTGCCTGGGTTCGAAGCCTGCTCTGTTCCTTCCTATGTTGTGTGACCCTGGGCAGTTTACTTAACCCTTCTAGACGTCCCTTTCCTCATCTCCAAGTGCGGATTGAAGTAGTGCCAGACTCATAGGGTTGTCACGAGGATTGATGGCCAATGTGCATGAAGCAAGTACACAGTGCCTGGCACATAGTAAATGCTCAGTTAGCGTGAGCTGCTTTCATTATTTTAAATCTGCTCAGACTACTCCCCTTTTTAAAACCCATGAGTGCAAAAACCAACAACTCGACTCAAAAATGGGCAAACAACTTGAACAGACATTTTTCCAAGGAAGGTGCTAGTTAAAATGACCAATAAGCAAGCACATGAAAAGATGCTTAATATCATTAATCATTAAGGAAAAGCAAGTCAAAACCACAGCGAGATACCACTTCACTCCCATGGGATGGTAACTATCAAAGCAAACAAACAAAAAACAACAACAACAAAAAACAAGAAAATAACAAGTGTTGGTGAGAATGTGGAGAAATTAGAACCCTTGTGCACTGTTGGTGAGAATGTAAAATGGTATAGCCACTGTTAAAAATAGAATTACCACATGATGCAGCCATTCCACTTCTGGGTATCTACCCAAAAGAATGGAAACCTGGGTCTCAAGGAGATATTTGTATAGCTATGTTCATGGTAGCATTATTCACAATAGCTAAAACCCAATAGCAACCCGTGTCTGTCGACGGATGAATGGATAAGCAAAACTGGGTATATACATATGGTGGAATATTATTCAGCCTTCAAAAGGAAGGCTGTTACGTGCTACACCATGGATGAAACTTGAGGACATTATGCTAATGAAATAAGCCAGACAAAAAGATAAATACTGTCAGGTGCAGTGGCTCAAACCTGTAACACTAGCACTTTTGGAGGCTGATGTGGGAGGCTCGCTTTAGCCTAGGAGTTTGAGACCAGCCTGGAAAACATAGTAAGACCTTGTCTCTACAAATAATGGAAAAAATTAGCTGGGTAAATAGTGGCATGCAGCTTTGGTCCCAGCCACTTAGAAGGCTGAGGTGGGAGGATTGTTTAAGCCCAGGTGATTGAGGCTGCAGTGAGCTGTGATCATGCCACTGCACTCCAGCCTGGGTGACAGAGTGAAACCCAGTCTCAAAATAAATAAATAAATAAATAAATACTGTATGATTCAACTTACATGAGGTCCCCAGAATAGTGACAATCATAGAGACAGAATGCAGAAGCATGGTTGCCAGGGGTTGAGGGGCAGGGGGGAATGAGGAGTCATTGTTTGCTTGGGACAAAGTTGTAGTTTTACAAGATGAAAAGAGTTCTGCAAACGGGTGGTGGTGATGGTTGCACATGAAGGTATCTAATGCCACAGGACTCTACACTTATAGATTGCTGAGATAGTAAAGGCTATGTTATGTGTATTTTACCACAATAAAAAAAATAGAAAAAAAAATAAAACCAACAAACCTATGAGTGGAGGCTCTTCACTGCCTTCAGAGGGAACCATACTTCCTAACTTCCTAGCCTGGCATTCAAGGTCTCTGTGGCTCTTCTAGTTTCTCTATCACGGCCACCTCTCTCCATCCTGTCCCCCACTAGACCGGATGGCCCACTTCCCCTGCCAGCACGTTGCTCTTTCACATTCCAGGCCTTGCTCTTCTTTCTTTCTCTGCAAGAACTGCTTCCCCGCCACCCCACTTGACTCACACGCAACATGGGATCACCATTTTTTTTTTTTTTTTGAGATGGAGTCTTGCTCTGTCACATAGGCTAGAGTGCAGTGGCCCAATCTTGGCTCACTGCAACCTCCACCTCCAGGGTTCAAGCAATTCTCCTGCCTCAGCCTCCTGAGTAGCTGAGATTATAGGCACCTGCCATGACCCGTGGCTAAGACGGGGTTTCACCATGTTGGCCAGGCTGGCCTCAAACTTCTGACCTCGGCCTTCCAAAGTGCTGGGATTACAGGCATGAGCAGCTGCGTCCAGCTGGGATCCACTTTTAAGACTCAGCTCCCACCTTGGAGAGAACTTTCCTCACCGTTGTCCACCCTGGAACTCACCACTTCTTCTTTTGCGCTGCACTGAGCCCCTCTCTGGGTTTTGGCCCTAACCCCTCTTGATTTTATGCTCTGAGCTGTTTATACAGCTGTTCAGCCCACTGGACAGTGAGGGCCATGCCTTGCACTTTCTGACCACCCCCCACTCCAGGCCAGCCCAATACTTTGCACCGAACCTCAGTGAGTAGCTGCTGAATGGATTTGGCTCTCAGAAAAGGAGGAAGCACAGGCTGGATGGGGACTTATGACCTGTTATTATTACAAAGTAAGCATATGCCTAGGTGATGGGAGATACGGAACCCACGGGGAACTTTGAAAGGCCGTTTGGTTTATTTCCCTGGTGAAAAACCCTTTGAGACAAAGAGCCTGGGGAGGGAAAGCTACATTTCGCCTTCATGTCGCCTCTGAACAGAGAGGCATAAAGCAAGGGTTCGTGTTTCTCCTTCGAGAAATTAGGTCACTGGGTGTCGTTAAGTGTGCCTGACAGAGCTATGCTAATCAGTTCTCTTCTGGCCTAAATATCTGGTAATTACCTTGGTTTTTCGCTTTGCCAGACTCGGCTTCCTAAAACAGTTCATCCACGCTGTTACTTCTTGGCTCAAAATCTTCAAGGATAATGTTCACCACCACCATCAAACAGCAAGCACACCCTGCTCTTGCCTCATGCTGGGCGCTGTTCTAAGCATTTTACCTGCATGAACTCTTCAGATACCGCCACAGTCTCTGAGGCAGGTGATACTATTAGGTCCATTTCAAAGGGGAGGGAATGGAGGCTCACTGCTTTCCGGGGCCTGCAGCTCCGCATCCTGATGCCTCTGCCGGGCTCTCGGCTCCTCTCTCCCTCCTTATCCTTGTTTCTGACTCCTGGCTGTCAGTCCTCACCATGATCATGCACGGCCCGTGCCTCCCAGGACAAGCCAGAGCTTCAGGCGATCCAGGTTCCCTGCCTTCTCCCATGTACCTCCCCATCTCTATTAGCCTGGGTTCTCCAGAGAAACTGAGCCAATAGAATATATATAGAGAGATATAAGCGGAGACTTATTACAGGAATTGGCTCATGCTATTAGGGAGGCCGAGAAGTCCCACAGTATGCCATCTGCACGCTTGAGAACAAGAAAGCTGGTGGTGCGATTTGGTCTGAGACCAAACGCCTGAGAACGAGGGGAGTGAATTTTTTTTTTTTTTGAGATAGGATCTTGCTCTGTTGCCCAGGCTGGGGTACAGTGGCACAATCACCACTCATTGCAGCTTCAACCCCTGGGGCTCAAGCAATCCTCTTGCCTCAGCCTCCAGAGTAGCTGGGACTACAGGTGCACACCACCCCTCCTGGCTAATTTTATTTTATTTTATTTTTGGTAGAGGCAGGGCTTTACCATGTTGCCCAGGCTGGTCTCGAACTCCTGAGCTCAAGCGATCCACCTGCCTTGGCCTCCCAAAGTGCTGGGATTACGAGGTGGGAGCTTACACCACCGGGCCCAGCCGGGTGTAAGTCTTGCTCTGAGTCCAAAGAGCAAGAACCAGGAGCACCCATGTCAGAGGGCAGGAGAAGATGGATGTCCCAGCTCAAATGGAGAGGGTGAATTTGCCCTTCTTCAACGTTTCTGTTCTATCTGGGCCATCAGTGGATTGGATGAAGCCTGCCCACATTGGTGAGGGCAGGCCTTCTTTTCTTAGCCTGCTGATTCAAATGCTAATGTCTTCCGGAAGTGCCCTCCCAGACACACCCAGAAATAATGTTCTACCAGCGATCTGGGTTTCCTTTAGCCCAGTTGAGTTGACACATATATTTAACCATCACACCACCCACCCTAGAATGCCTGCCTGCGTCAGTTCTGTATCTCCCAGACATCCTTGAAGGCATGTCTTGTGTCTAGACTCTGCCAGAAAGTCCTCTCTGAGGCTGGGCGTGGTGGCTCACTCCTGTAATCCCAGCACTTTGGGAGGCTGAGGTGGGTGGATTACCTGAGGTCAGGAGTTTGAGACCAGCCTGGCCAACACGGTGACACCCCATCTCTACTAAAAATACGAAAAAAAAAATTAGCCAGTCATGGTGGTGGGTGCCTGTAATCCCAGCTACTTGGGAGGCTGAGGCAGGAGAATTGCTTGAACCCAGGAGGCAGAGGTTGCAGTGAGCCAAGATTGTGCCATTGAACTCAGCTTAGGAGACAAGAGTGAAACTCTATCTCCAAAAAAAAAAAAAAAAAAAAAAAAAGAACATCTTCTCTGAACTCCTGATGCACTTGGAGTCCAAACCACCCGCTTGAATGTTTGGCTTCTCAGTGATTGTGTGTTTGTGCATGTACGCGCATGAGTGTGTGTGCTCATGTCAGCACTCTCTTTCCATAGTTAATCGTTTTTCTTTTCTCTTCATTAAAATTTCATTCTCTCTCTGTCTCTCTCTTTCTTTTTGAGACAGGGTCTCACTCTGTTGCCCAGGCTTGAGTGCAATGGTGAGATCTCAGCTCACTGCAACCTCCGCCTCCCGGGTTCAAGCAATTCTCCTGTCTCAGCCTCCGGAGTAGCTGGGATTACAGGTGCCCAACACCACGCCCAGTGAATTTTTGTGTTTTTAGTAGAGATGGGGTTTTGCCATGTTGGCCAGGCTGGTCTCAAACTCCTGACCTCAAGATGATCCACCCGCCTTGGCCTCCTAAATGCTGGGATTACAGGTGTGAGCCAGCATGCCCAGCTTCTTTCCATATTTAGATTATGAATGATTTGAATGCCAGGATCCAATTCTCTCTGTGCCTCAGCCCTGATCTAACTAACTATAAGATTCCCCTTACAAACTTCATTCATTCAAAACATCGACAGCAGACATTTAGTAAACTTTTTACTGTGTGCCAGATACTGTGAGCAGCGTTGGATGCTGGGCTAGATGCAGATGGGCAGCTGGCTAAAGGGCAAATATGAAAAGAGAATTCAGGAAAAACCAGTAGATTAGGGCCAGTTCATTTTTTGAAACCCAATTCTCCATCATCCCAGCTTTTGGGACCTAACAAGTTATGCTGTTAATTACAAACAAAATGAAATATAAAATATAAATATAGATGATAGCTTAGCATCTTTGGGCTGATTGGCTTGTTTGGAAGGGTCTATTTTAGAATTTGTATCTTTATAAACTGACAGTCTCTCTGGGCTGTTATAAAAGTATTGATTATCATGATAGCCAAAAAAATTGAGCTTTTGTGGTAGGCTTTACTTAAAATGTATATAACACTGCACCTCCAGGGCAGTGTTCTAGAAGCCAGGAAGTGGCTCTGGTAGGGCTACCTGTTTTTTGTTTTTTTGTGTGTTTTGTTTTTGTTTTTTTGTTTTGTTTTGTTTTTTGAGACTGGATCCCTCTGTTGCCCAGGCTGGAGTGCAGAGGCATGACCTTGGCTGACTGCAATCTCAACCTCCCGGGCTCAAGCGATCCTCCCACCTCAGTCCCTCAAGTAGCTGAGACTACAGGGGAACATCACTGCACTCTGCTAATTTTTTAAATTAGCCTCATCATACCTAGTTCTCTGAAGGGGAAACTGAGGCTCAGAGAATTAAAGTCATCTGTCCAAAGAGCAAGGCAGTCAGAATTGCAGGCCAGGTCCAAAGTCTATATTCTTTTTTTTTTTTTTTTGAGACGGAGTCTTGCTCTCTCACCAGGCTGGAGTGCAGTGGCATGATCTTGGCTCACTGCAACCTCTGCCTCCTGGGTTCAAGCGATTCTTGAGCCTCAGCCTCCTGAGTAGCTGGGATTACAGGCATGCACCACCACACCCAGCTAATTTTTGTATTTTTAGTAGAGACGGGTTTTCACCATGTTGGCCAGGCTGGTCTTGAACTCCTGATCTCATGATCTGCCTGCCTCAGCCTCCCAAAGTGCTGGGATTACAGGCGTGAGCCACTGCACCCAGCCAATCTCTTTATTTCCGAAGTTCTAAAATTATATACTTAGAAAGAAATGCTTTAACCTTGTAGTAATACATTCTCTTTAAGGTCAGGAATAAATAAGTAAAAATTAATCTGACAATCTTGAAGCAGGCTGAAAAATATCACTCTGTACTCCCCTTGGATTTGACTCCCAGAATTGTTCCACTCATTGACAGCTGATTGGCTTAAATAATTCATCCCCTTTCGTGAGGCCTATTGCTTCAAATTGGTATGTGCTTGATGAGGGCTGTGACTGACGGGTGACTGCAAGCTGAAATGCTCCACCGCACAAGCCGAGAGAGGCTCGAAACAGTTACCCAGTGTCTTAAGGCAAATCTGGGCGTTAGGATCTCATTCTTTTGCAAAGCACTGAATCGCCAACAAACAATTTTTTTGGATACTCTGACCATCTGTGCATTCCCGACCTTCCTGTTGACTGAAGGGAGAGGGTTGACCATGTTTCCCAGGACACCCAGAGGCATCTGTGTTCTAAGTTACAGGCCTGGCTGGAAGCTGCTTGCTACAAGAGTCTGCACGGGGCCTCTGCCTCCTCGATCTCTGTGGCAGAGCTTTCACCTCCTTTTCAGGCAACCCAAAATTTGGGGACTCAGATCTCTTTCTGTCACAGGGGGACATTTTGCTAGGAAGAAAAATGGCCAGGCTTTTAGAAGAGAAGAGAGAAGAGGTGTATTCTTGGGGATAAGAGGTTAGAGATTAGGACTGAGGATAGGAACAGGTAAGACGGGTAACTTTCAGCAAAAGGCAATAAAGAAAGGGAAGAAGAAACACATCACATTCTCAGACAGGGTAAAGATATCTCCTCAGACCCACGGCAAGAGGTGAACATGGACCTTGGTGTGCTGGGGTTGCTATAGCTACACAGATTGGGAAGCCAGGAAGGGGCCCTGGTGGGGCTACATTTTTTTTTTTCTTTTTTTCTTTTTTTGAGACAGGGTTTCTCTGTTACCCAGGCTGGAGTGCAGAGGTGTGACCTTGGCTCACTGCAGCCTCAACCTCCTGGGCTCAAGCGATCTTCCCACCTCAGCCCTTCAAGTAGCTGGAGCTACAGGTGCACACCATACCACCTGGCTAATTTTTAAAAATTTTTATAGAGACTTGGTCTCACTTTGTTGCCCAGCCTGGTCTTAACCTCTTGAACTCAAGCCGTCCTCCTGCCTTGGCCTCCCAGTGTTGGGATTACAGGCGTGAGCCACTGTGAATAGGGGTGGTAGGGAAGGCCAAGAGCAAGAGGAAACCGGGAAACCACAGGCACTGAGGATTCTCACACAGGATGACTTCAATGAGGCTTTTGCTGAGAACAGCTACTCTAATGAGCTGGATCTTAAGAAGTCGGATTCCCCCAGCTTCTCGGAGTGACCTTGAACCTGGGAGCACTTTCCGTTCTCCTCCAGTTCTCAGTTCACGAGGTCCGTTCTCCTTCTCCAGGATCCCTGCAAAGCCCATTCTTCCCAAGGCATCACCAACCACCACTGGACATGATTCAACTCCCCACATAAACACCCCACCCAGGCCCACTGAATCCCATTCCGTACTTTAGTCACATGCCAGCTGATTTGTGCATCCCAAAGTTTGAGAAGCAAATGAGAACTGGAAGCTTCTTGGGCTAAGGATGGCATCTGCCTTGCAGCTGTTTCTATCTCCAGGCACAGGGCTGGGCCCATCATGGGACTTGCGTAGTTATGTGTTGAAGGAGGCTGGGCACAGTGGCTCACGCCTGTAACCTCAGCATGTTGGGAGGCCAAGGCAAGTGGATTGCTTGAGTCCAGGAGTTCGAGATCAGCCTGGGCAACAAGGCAAAACCCTGTCTCTACAAAAAACACAAAAATTAGCTGGGCATGGTGGTGCATGCCTGTAGTCCCAGCTACTCAGGAGGCTGAGATGGGAGGATCACTTGAACCCAGGAAGTGGAGGCTGCAGTGAGCCAGGATTGTGCCACTGCACTCCAGCCTGGGTGACAGAGTGAGACCCTGTCTCCAAATATAAAAAAACAAAATGTGTTGAAGGACTGAAGGAATGAATCTCCCAGAAAGCAAAGACAGCAAGGCGGGAAATGGGTCCAGCAAAAGAGAAGAAGGCAATTGATCAAGCTGAGTAGGCAGCAAGGATTAGGAAAAGATGGAGAAGATTGGAAATCGAATTCTCTGAACTCTAATAACATCGGAACTATCAGTAAACCTTTGTGGATGGTACCTTGCCTATGAAGAAAACACCTCGCAGAACATACACATTGATTTCTTTTATGAATTCTTAAATGTTGTGAAAATGGTGCCTCCATGGAGGGGCTACTTCAGTGCAAAGCACCATCAGGGGCACCGCAGGCAGGAGAGGTGGCAGGAGAGAGGACAAGGAGGAGGTCTGGGCAGTGTATGCTGGCAGGGAACGAGCGATGGGAGGCTGCCCCTTCACCACACTCGCTGCTGCTGAGAGCCAGAGCAGAGGACCGCAGGTAGGAGAGAGGGGCTTCGGCCTCTCTCTTCAGAGGTTCCTGCCTTGATATGAGGCCCTCACGTGGACAGAGCACTTTACAGTTTACAAAGTACTTTACAGTTTATGAAGCACTTTACAGTTTATGAAGCATGAGTTATCACGAGTCAGCTCTACTTGTCACTTCCAGGAAGTGAAAACACTCAGGCAGGCAGGAGAGGCAGCAATGTGCGTCAGGAGTGGGGACGTGCCTTTAATTGAGGGCGGCCGGGGTGATTTGGTAACGGGGTCCCCTGTGACTCTCTCTCGATAGCACGCAATCGCTGGTGTGCCGCGGGCAGCCGTCCCTCCCGCATGATCAAGTAAGACACAGGCCTGGTGGTGCCCATGCTTGGCCAAGTCAGCCCTGGCCATTGAAGAGGTTGCCTAGTTGGGCCCCCACCCTGCTGAAGGCTGCAGGATGATGCTGGTCCCAGCTGACGGTGCCATGTGGTGGGCTCAGAGCCAGCCTGCACTCTTGGCTCCACCACCCCTGAGAAGGGACAGGGGTGACCATGGGAAAGCAACTTCACCTCTCCCACCTCCCACTTCCTCAGCATGGACTGGAGATAAACTCATTCCTTTCTTATTTCATTCTTAAACTACACCTGTTTTTTGCTTGCTTTTTTTTTGAGACGGAGTCTCCCTCTGTCACCCAGGCTGGAGTGTAGTGGCACTATCTCGGCTCACTGCAACCTCTACCTCTTGGGCTTGAGCGATTCTCCTGCCTCAGCCTCCTGGGTAGCTGGGATTACAGACGTGCACCACCATGCTCAGCTAATTTTTGTATTTTCAGTACAGAGAGAGTTTCACCATGTTGGCCAGGCTGGTCTCGAACTCCTGAGCTTAAGCGATCCACCTGCCTTAGCCTTCCAAAGTATTGGGATTACAGGCGTGAGCCACCGCACTTGGCCCACACCTGTTGATAAGGACTCTTTTAATCCCCATTTTACAGATGAGGAAACTGAGGCCTAATGCAGAGCATTGAAAGAGCTGGATTGAACACAGGCAGTTTGAGTCCCAGGACCCTATTCTTACCCACTGTGCTATGCCACTGGGAAGAGGGAGGTAGGGTGCACAGTGGGCACCTGAGCCAGACTTGAATCCCAGGCCTCTGCTAATTGGCCGTGTCCTTGAGTAAGTTACTGAATCTCCCTGGGCCTCTGTTTTCTCATCTGTAAAGTAAGTTTGATTATAGTTCCTGCCTCAAAGGATTGTTGTGAAGATTAACATGAGATAACACAAGTAAATCATTAGAACAGTGCCTGGCACATAGTAAGTGTTCAATAAATCCTGCCTCATTATTCATAGGGTTAGTGAGAAGATTAAACGAGATAATTTATTACTTTTTGGGACAGGGTTGCCCAGGCCGAATGCAGTGTTGTGATCACGGCTCACTGCAACCTCAACCTCTCAGGCTCAGGTGATCCTCCTGCCTCAACTTTCAGAGTAGTTGGGACTACAGGCATGTACCACCATACCCAGCTATTTTTTTTCTTTTTCTTTTTTTTGTAGAGATGCAGTCTCACTCTGTTGCCCAGGCTGGTCTTGAATTCTTGGACACAAGCGATCTTCCCGCCTCGGTCCCCAAAGTGATGGGATTACAGGCATGAGCCACCATGCCTGGCTTAAATAAGGTAATTTATGAGGTGGGTGACCAATTAAAAAAAATATGAGTGCTCTCCCCTGTTCTCCTTTCCTGACCCAATAGTCAAGCTCTGGTCAGTTTCCAAAGCCAAGTGGGAGTGGATTCCATCCTGCAATACACATAGTTCTCCTTTTATGTCGACTTTTCTCAAAGAACTGGGAGCACTTCCAAGATGGCAAGTCTCATATGGGTAACGATCCTGGGAACTATGTCCCATTCAACAGCCACAGAGCCTGCTGGGCTATGTTAAATTTCCAATGTCACCCCACCAGGGGACGGCATGGTCTGTCCTGGCAGTGTCAGGGCACTGGAGGGCCCAGCTCACAGCTCCCCATCTCCGTGCCTCTCTCCTGCCTCCAGCCTGTTAACCTGTTATCGTAGTATCCCACTTTCATCCCTTCTCACTTTCTGTAGGGAGGTATTGAGAAAGAGAGAGAAGGAAGAAAAGAAAGGCTGATTTTACTACTCAAGTACTACCACTAGTGACAGCAACTATCAACAACAATAGGAAAGTGATTATAGCACCCACTGTTTGACAGGCTCCACCATGACAGCCCTGTCTGTGCTAAGGTATTGAAGCCTCATGATGACCCTATGAGGTTAGCATGGCTGCCATCCTGAATTTGTAGAGGGAAAGTAGATTTGTGGCCACAGGGCTGGTGAGAAGTGATGTTTATACCGGTCACACCTGGCTCGTGTGACATCAAAGCCTCCTGTGTGGTCTCGCCCCACCCCTCGTGGAGCAGGCTCCCCACAGCGCTATCTCTTAGGAGGGCCAGCCTCCCAAATATCTCTTGGGGGTATTTGCTGCCCCAATATGGGTTTTCACAGACACATTTGATCTTGCTCTCTCTGTAGCTGTGACCACACACGTGTACTTTGCACTTTGACCTTTCTTTAAGTACCATTGACTTAGAAGTCCCTCTAAACCTGAATCTTAGCGGTGGCAGAAGATTATTCTCTGATTGGAACCATGGCCCTCTCTTTAGGAGAGTGGAACTTGCCACCTGGAACTAATGCAAATGACTACCATCGATGGCGTACCCAGGATGCAGCTGGCACATAGCCCGGTACAGGATCTCACTTAAGTGCAATATCACTCATTTTGCAAATGAGAAATAGGAGGCTCAGAGAGGCTAAACAACTGGCCTAAGGTCACCAGCTGGCTCCTGTTTTAACTCGTTCAATTCTCAGAGCTGCCCTGCGAAGCCCAGGGCTTGGAACCTCAAGTCCACACTACCTTCCTCGTGAGGCTGCTACGAGGCTCAACTTGCTACAGCTTTGCTGGCTGTGGCTCACTGTGAAAATGTCAGCATTTTCCTCTTCGTCTGTTTTACAGAGGTTTAGAGAGGTTAAGGGCCTTGACCAAGGTCACAACGCTCAGAAGCAGAAGAGGCAGACAGCCTCTAGCCCAGATTCTCTGCCTCCATATCCGGTGCTGTTCCCTCTACCCCACTGCCTGGGAACATCTGCTGGATCAGCCTCAGCGAATGCCCTGGAAAAATGGTAGGGACCTAATTTCCCTGAGCTGCCTGATGGAGCTTGCCTCTCTTTCTGCTTCTTCTAATATTGTGTGTGTGTGTGTGTGTGTGTGTGTGTGTGTGTGTTTTAAAAATCTTTTGTCAGCAGCAAATTCATCTGAAATTGCAGCAAGAATAATACTTCGGTGTCACCTCTACTCTTCTCTGGTTCTAACAATCTTACAGTATCAAACAGCCCCTGCTTCAGAAGAAAAATAATAATGAATGACTTAAAATAACTCTGCTGAAGAAAATGAAGGTTTGATTTGAATTGCAGAGGGAACGACTCCCTTTTTGTCCCCCTCTCTCTTCATTTCCTGAAGAAGGCTTTCAGAATCTGCAAGATCCTTCTGCATTCAAAGATTCTGAGAGTCAAGAAAAACCAGGGCCAAATTATTTGATCTGAAAGTATATTTATCCCCATCATTCCAAAATACCACCAAATATCACCTAAGGAATAGGAAGCATTGGTGTGTGTCCATCTCTATTCTTCTCTAAGAAGCCTTAAGCTTTCTCGGGTCCACGGGAAAGGATGCGGTTTCCCCACCACTGCACTGCCTGGATGGGTGTGTCTTCCTCTGGGGTGGGTCAGAGAGGTCCATATGCTACAGAAGCCTATTACAAGCTTATCTCATTAATCACAGTGATTCATGCCGATAAAAAGGAATTTTTGGGAGAATGCAGATTTAACCCATTGTGGCCTTATCGGATCAGATTCATTATAACTCCATGCCTAGGTCCCCAAAGGAGATAGCAGGTCACGAGTGTATGCTTCAACAGAAACCCTCCTTAACCCACGTGGGCATAAATGAAGCTGAAATTACCAGAGAAATATACACTGGCATGTGTTGAGCCTGTGGTGCCGTTCAACCAAATGAAGTTCCATGGTTTAATATATTTCTCCATAGAGTGTCACAGCAGACAAGGTTGTGAATTGCACATTCCAGTTTTGCTCTTTGAAGATAGTTCTATTCAACCAAGTAGCCAATAGGAGTTCAGCTGATTAATAAAAGTACATTCTTTTTAAGTATAATTTTGAGTATTGTTGTGGTTTGACTGCCCCATGATTGCAAAGATTTCAACAAAGCCAGCTTGGAAGCTGCTAAAATGAACTTATTACTCAGCTTTTATTTACAAAATGTATTTTGAGGCTTCAAGTGTTGCAGAGATGCCAATGGTCGCAAAGGAGAGAGAATTGGTATTGAATCTGGTGGTATGCTGAAACCCCAAGGGAGGGCAGCTGCTCACCAGCCTGGCATTCTAGGTAAAATGAGGCCACGTAAAATGATGGAATGGTTATCTTCCCAAACGCCAATTTGTGTTGGTTTGCAAAGTGCTGAAGAATGAATGACACCCCGTCCTGGCTGAAATTTATGTCACACAATTTGGGGTAGGAGGAGGAAAGCCTATTTTCAGTCTAATGTTACAAGGGGAGACAGCAAGTCAATGGAATTAGGAGGAAATGGCCAGAACCTAGTAGCTCAATTTTTAACCCCAGGGTGAATCAAAGCAGCTTCCCCATTCCCCTTCCTCTCTGACCTTAGGGATCAGCCCACTCTCTCTATTACCTTCTACTACCCTCTCTCTACACACATTCACATTTGACCCAGTTCCCCCTTCTAACCAAAGACTCGACCCAATTCTCAAGCCTTCTCCCCCACAGTTCTGACCCAATTCTCTCATCATTTCCACAAAGACGTGACCCAATTTGCCTCCATCCTTCCCCCAGCACATGCGATAACATTCCCCCTACAGCTCCCACACTACGGATATGACCTCATTTCCACCCCCATGCCAGTCACTCACACCTGTTCCCCCTCCATTTCCCCACGATGGCCAGGAGCCACCATGGTTACCTTCTCTTCTTGCACCTAGGACACCACCCCCTTCTCTAAAAACACCAAGGACACAGCTTCCCTTCGGCAGCAGCCTCTTCTTTCCCTGGGTACATTCACAGGGATTTGACCTAATTTTCCCACTTCTCAAACCCTACTTGGCTCATCCATCTCATCGCACACCGTCTTCCCAAGGACACGTGGTTTGTGTCATTGCTGGAATGTCAAGCCCTCTGACACAGCCAATGCTCCCAATCAATGCTCGCAGCACAGCACTGAGTAGGTAGTTACTGCAGCCCCTGGCATGGCCAGAGGAAACGTCACAGCTGGCTGTGCCTTAACTGATACTCAGTTATTAGTTTATTCTTTAAAGAAATCATTTTGTTGGCAGCTTATCTGCCAGCATTTTGGATTTTCTCCCTTCCTTCCTTCCTTCCTTCCTTCCTTCCTTCCTTCCTTCCTTCCTTCCTTCCTTCCTTCCTTTCTTTCTTTCTTTCTTTCTTTCTTTCTTTCCTTCTTTCTTTCTTTCTTTTCTTTAAAAAAGGACATGTGATGAGTTCCGGTGAAGTGTGGTAGGGCTGTCAGTCAGGGGTTAAAGTCCTTTATAAGAAAACATGGGCAGGAGCAAATGTACCGGCCACTGAATGCTGCCCTTTCTATGTCAGTAGGGCTCCTGGAGAGGTTATAGGAGATGGCTCTCTGAGGGCTCTTCATTCATGGCTGCTACCTAATTAAAAAATAAATACGTTTCAATGATCACAAATGATTTTTATTTATCCACTAGGAACCAGATTACAATCAGTTATGCATATGAAATCTACTAAACAGTTTTCAGGTGAAAGGGTATTAAGTTCTATCAACGTTGGGGACTGATTTGGGTGAATAGACTTGGAGGCGATTGGTTGAGGGAAGACTGGAGAGAGCTTTTGTAGCCTTGCTCTCGTTTTTGTAACTGTTCCTCCCTAGGTCACTGCCCACTTACGTGTGATGGAGAAAGAGCCCACTCCAGCTCTCCCTGTTCTCTTAACTTGGCTGAGTTTTGGTGACACTCACGGTGGAACTTGGTTAGAAATAGTTGTTGTTTTGAAAAATTCAGAATTTTTCTTCTAAAATGAAGTAATACACGTTAAAGGTTTTGGACACCGTGAAGAGTTGTTCCAAATGGTAGTTATTCGGATGATAACAATCCCTGTTATCATCACAAGCACCATCTCTGCTGCCACCACCTTCATCATCACCACCTGCATCACAATCATTATCATCACCATCACCACCACCTTCATGATCACCACCACCTGCACCATGGCTATAATTACTACCACCACCATCAGCATCACTACCACCACCATCATTATCACCACCATCACCGCCACCTTCAGGATCACTGCCACCTGCATCATGGCTATAATTACCACCACCATCACCACCATCACTACCACCACCATCACCGTCACCACCATTACCACCACCATCACTACCACCACCATCACTGTCACCACCACTACCACCACCATCATCACCACCACCATCACCATCATCAACACCACCACCATCACCACCATCACCACCACCTTCATGATCACTGCCACCTGCATCATGGCTATAATTACCACCGCCATCACCATCATCACTACCACCATCATCACCATCATCACCATTACCACCACCATCACTGCCACCATCACTACCACCATCATCACCATCATCACCACCACCACCATCACCACCATCACCATCACCACTTTCATCACCACCATCTTTATCACAGTCATTATTACCACCATCAATCATCACCACCTTCATGATCACTGCCACCTGCATCATGGTTACAATTACTACCACCACCATCAGCACCACCTTCATGATCACCACCACCTGCATCATGGCTATAATTACTACCACCATCACCACCACTAACACCACCATCATTATCACCACCATCACCACCATCTTCATGATCACTGCCACCACCACCACCATCACCACTACCACCATCACCATCACCACTACCATCACCATCACCACCACCACTACCACCACTTTCATCACCACCATCTTTATCACAACCGTTATTGTCACCATCAATCACCACCACCTTCATGATTACTGCCACCTGCATCATGGTTACAATTACTACCACCACCATCACCATCACTATCACCACCACCACCATCACCATCATCACCACCACCAGCAGCACATCTGAAAAACTCTGATTCTGGCCTTTATGTCTCAGATTCTTTTCTTTTCCTGTCAACTTCTTTATTTATACATTTATCCATTAAAAAGAATGAGAATGAAAAACAGAAAAATTATTCTTTTTTTATTATTCTAAGAATTTGTATCTTTTTCACGAGTAAGTTAGAAGCTAAAGATCTATCTATCATCTATCTGTTCATCTCTCTGCCTATTAATCGATGGATCATTTTCTTTTGCTTGTTGGTTGTATTTCCATGGCTCTTCCCTTTTAGTTTGTCTTCATCCCTCCACCTTCTTTCTGTTGGTTTAGTGCTTAGGGCCTAAAAGTAACTGATGCAGCACCTTAGAATATAGAGAATGCTTCCAAGCCCTCGCAGAGACTGGACTTTTCCTACCTGGTGATAGCATAAGGAAGAGCAACTACATGATTTTTTCTCTTTGTGGGAAAAGGGGCACATCTTTTTATTCAGAGTCGAAAGTTTTTAAAAAGGAAGAAGACAGGGAATTTGAATCTTTGTCAGCACCTGGCTCTTTAGCATAATGATCTGCACATTGTTGACATCCTGTAAATGCTTACTGAATTAAATTTGAGCATCAGCCTTTGGGCAGGAACAGAATTAAATCCATTTTTTGGGGGGCAGCCACTTTTATTCCAAATATATTTTTGGGTTACATTTCTAACTTCTCCCACCCTTTCCTTTTGTCTCTTGTCAAAACTCATCACACTGGTGCTGAAGTAAAGTTGACCATTTGTGTTTGGAATCCATTGGCTGGACTAGGGTTTAAATCCCTGCACCACCAATGACCAACCTGAAAAAGAAATCACTTGACTTCTTTTGGCTTCAGTTCTCTCATCTGTACCACCACCCTGCCATACAGGGTGGTTGTGGGAACTGAATGAAAAAATAAGGACTATACAGTAGATCCCAGAGGATCCAGCCCATGGTAGCTGGAGGCATGGCATGTGTATGTTTCCTGTAGATAATTACTCCCCCCACTCTCTATTGGGTCCATTTCTGGTATGGCCAAAGGATGCCAAGTCTGCATGCTCTCAGGGACCAACTCTCCCTCTACCATCAGCCCATCTTCATGGTGCTCAGCCGTCAGGAGACTCTGAGAATTGAACTAGGGAAGTGTAACAGCAGACCAAGAGGCAGAATTCCTATGTGAATTTCTGCTCCTTTACACACTGCAGGAATGCTACGAGACAGCTCATTTCTAAGCTTGGGAGGGTTCCCACAGCTTGGCTGAGACTTGGGGGAGAAGACGCAGGGCTTGAAGGCCCTTGCAGGAGTGAAGCCAGTGAAGAGACGGAGTCCCAAACCCGACTCCCACCTCTGCCCCTGTTAGCTGTGGGACTCTGGCAAATCGCTTAATCTCTCAGCACCTCCGTTTCCTCCTCTGCAGAATGAGGAAGAGAAGCCTAAAACAGATTTTGCATGGTGGTTGTGGGGATAAAATAAAACCTTTGGTATACAGGAGGGTGCTCAATAGGTAGTGTTTTTCTTCCCTTCCTTTCCTCTCCATCCTCTCCTTCTTTTCAAACATTTCCTTTTTATCTTGTATTCCCCTCCCCCCACCCCACTCCCGACTTCTTCCCAGGTTTCTTGATTCAAATTTAGATATGCTGGCTACTCAATGGTGACTTGTATAGAACCTGAAGTTCTTAGGAGGATGGACACTAAAGAATCCAATAAGTGATAAACGTTTGACTGCATAAACAAGAATAATAACAACACAATTATTTGGGATCATTATTAAATTGTGAGACCAAATGAAGCCAACACAATCAAAATTGAATAGAAAGTCAGTAGAGAGTCACACCCTCTAATTTGTTTGAAGATGCTGCCCTGGTTTATTACTGATGCTCAATCATACAGTTATTTAAAGGAAATCCAGACTGACAATATTAATAATGGTGACAAATCTTCCCGGCATGGACGGCTCTCACTTTCTTTTAATTGAAGGGAAGCTATGGAAGTGTTTTCCTTCATTTAAAAAAAATCTTCCTTTTTTTTTCTCTCAGGCCATCTGTCTGGCTATTAAAATCCCATCAGCTTCATTGCGAGAACGCTTACTTCCCCCATGCCTGCCATCCCAAAGGGGGCTCTTACAGCCAACTAGCTCATGATCGCTCCGGGCCCTCCAAAGGGTAAGTGCATTTGCTCTCAGCGCTTCCTTTGCAGCATCCTGTCTTTCTTTCCTGGCATCTCATTGCTGTATAGACAAGATATTCTGTGATTTATTTCCAGGCCCCCACATTAATACTCTGAAATTAGTTTATATCCATAATTATGTGTTAATTCATTCAACTGTATAAGAAGTAGCTATGTCTCTTCTCAGCAGTTTAGGGTCTAACAAGACAGTGCTGGATCTCTGAAATAAACACCCTCGGGTCAAAGTCCAATACTTCAGGATTAGCCTTTGCTTTATAGATGATGGTGGATGAAGCCCTTGGATCTAAGAGATTGAGTCAGGACTAAGAGTCAGGAAGGAAATGCCTGCATTCTCTCTGACCCAGCACCTGGGTTCCTAAAATCCTACACTATCTCTCTTAGGCTTGTGAGTCATATTATCCCAGCCCTTCCTAAATACCCCAAATCCTTTTTGTCATTATTGTTATGGGAGACAGTCATTCCTGTTATGACAAAACTGCCTTTCCTCCCCCACTCAGGTATGATCATTATGGAGAAATCTTACAGCTTCTTCCAAGAAAACACCTCTTCCTACCAGAGGTAAATCCTTCTATGCTTGGAAGGCTCTAGGGTGGAGAAAGAAATTCCTTCCCTGCTGGTTGACAGGGAGAGCTAATTCCTCTTGTTCTGATGGTGTCTTGGGAGGGGGCATCTCCTGAACACCCTGGAGGAAACCAAAGGGAAAATCCTTCAGTACAAATCAGTGTGTCAACAAGGGAGGCAGCATCTCTCTCTCTCTCCACCCCCCGCGACCCCTGGCTGTCGTCCACACCACCATCCTTTCTAGATGGAGGAATGGGTCAAATTGTAACTAAGAACCGAGTGCTCCCGACGCCTCAGAAAGGCCCTTACAGTCCAGGCGACTTCTGTGAATTGGCCTCTGACCTTCTTTTCACTTTCTATGTCAGTGTCTCTTTTATCACCTAAAGAAAAAAGCTGATGAGTAATGGGGCTGAAGAGCCACCCGTCTCTCCATGTCTTTCAAACCCCGTGGATGGTTTATCAGTAGGAACAACGCTTTTGCAAAGTGAATGGTGGGCCATTGTGGTACCTGAGATGAATTTAGGTGGTATAGGGATGAACATTTAAATAGCTTTAAGCTAAGTATTTTGAAGGCATGTTAAAAATATAACTAGTGAATTGAACCAGTGATTTCTTGGGTACTATTGCTTAGGATGAGGCTCGATTTAAACAGGGGATCGATTTAAAGATACATGTTTGAGGCTGGGTGCAGTGGCTCACACCTGTAATCCCAGAACTTTGGGAGGCCGAGGTGGGTGGATCCCTTGAGCTCAGGAGTTTGAGACCAGCCTGGGCAGCATGGCGAAACCCCATCTCTACAAAAATTCAAAAAAATGAGCCGGTGTGATGGTGCACCCCTGTAGTCTCAGCTCCTCAGGAGGCTCAGGTAGGAGGATCACTTGAGCCCAGTAGGTCAAGGCTGCAGTGAGCCAAGATTGTGCCACTGCCCTCCAGTCTGGGCAACAGAGCGAGACCTTGTCTCAAAAAAAAAAAAAAAACAAAGTAAAAAAAGATATGTGTTTGATTAATAACAGTCCTGATTTAAAACAACAGCACTGTGTTTTGAGCCTTCACTCAGTATGCAACTCCTTTATACAGATTTTATTTTAATTTTTATAACACACTGCTTGAGAAGCATATTTATTTCCGTTTTTGTGTGTGCATGTGGTGGACAGGAAACAGTGGTTCAGAGAGATGAAGCACCCTGCCCGAGGTGGCAGAGTGCATCAGGATTCAAACCCAGGTCTGTCTGATGCCCAAACTGGGCTCTTTCTGCTGGATCGCGCTGCCCAATCAATCCGGGAAGAAAGTAGGGCAGGAAGTGGTTGGGTTCTAGGGAAAATCTATTGGTCCTGAGCTGCGGTGGTGTGTGGTCCTGCCGTCTGAGACTCTGGCCTGTAATTTTAGCCTGGGCTCCAGCCACAAGCTTTGCAGCTTCCTCTCATCGCTCAGTCCACAAATATCCATGCCCCGCCTGGTTTCTCTGTGTTCTCTGTGTCTCAGAGAGCTCTCCCTGGGCAGCGTTTCTGGGGGCGGCAGGGGGTGTCTCTCCCAGCCTGGGGGCGGGCAGGCCTCTCTCTGCATCCTGCTGCTGTTCCTCTTCGCTCTGACCAACTGTCGTGGACCCTCTGGGCTCCAGCATTCCATCTGCTCTGAGAGGGGCCCGCCCGCGCCCAGGCAGCTTCCATCTCTCCCGGGGGCCTCTGCCCGCCTTCTCACGCTCTTTCCCCACCCTGTGCCACCTCGCTATGCTGAGCTTCTGCCCCCCGTCATCCTTACCATGGACCCACCTCTGGCTCCTGTCCTCTGGTGCTCTGCAAAGCCGCTGACTTAGACCTGGGGTGGCAGCTGGCTTCCTTTACCCCCATCGCTCTGCCCCCACCTCACCCACACCACACGTTCTGCCTCTGGCCATGTCCTGGTAACCCTGGTGTCAGGCACCTCGGCTGCCGAGGCCCATCGGGAAGCCCCAGAGGCACAGTGTTCTCAAGCCGAGGACAGGCCTTTTGAAACAGATCTTTCCGGCCTGGTTCTTATGTTCTCCTGTGAACTCAGTCCTCAGGGGAAGGATTCCGCTGTTCCGGGACCAAGGCGGGGAGAGCCGCCTACCCTAGGAGCGGCTGATTCCACGGGAAGCCAAGGCACTAACTAATTTGTTCCTCCCTTCCTCCGTCCATCTTTCCATCCTTTCTCCTTTTCTTATTTTGTTCATTATTACTACTATTTTTGCTGAGATCCTACTATGTGCCAGCCCCTGCCTTAGCTATTTAATTCTGACTGATTGGCCTATCCCCATTTATTCACCAAGAGCTTGAGGTGTGCCAGGCACTGTGCCGGACAGCCGGTCACAGAGGTAAATGTGACACCATCCATGTCTCAAGGGCTTTGCCACCTGGTTGAGGAGACAGATACTTGAAAACAGAGAAGCACAAGGAAGTGTCTGGATCTTTGCCGACATCTGAACTGGCAGAGGCTGCAAATGTCTGAGGGTGGAGGCTCTTTGGCTTTGAGGCTGGCAGGAGAAAGGGGAGAGTGGCCACCACTCCTGGCTTGGATGGGCCCCTGTCTAATCCCTTCACCATGTCAAAACGGACACCAGGGCATACCAAGACAACAGCAACAGCTCGCTGCCACAACCCTCCTCAGATATAAAGGCTCATCTCTAAGGAGATGACCCTGTCACAGAGCAAGTCCAGAAGAAGGAAAAACCTCCGTTTCTTGGTGCTGTTTCAGGCTTCTCTTCGGTCAAATCCTGCAGCTCTTTCATGCGGAAGGGCCCTTGGATTTGATGACTTTGTGGGAGAGATAGGGGAGCCCGGAGCTCCCCCAAGGGTATCAGCTGGCATGTAAGAGGGAGGAAGGCGGATAAACAGACTCAGGCATGCAATGGGCCTGCCTCCCAGAGCTGGGGATTCTATCCACCCTCAAAGAGGCAGCAGCAGAGGCTGTGACCCGGAGGGAATATTGTGGTGGTGGAATGGCACAGTGCCTTCCGTCCCACAAGCATGAGTGAGCTGCTACTACGTGCCAGGCACCGTGTCAGGTGCTGGAGACCCCACACTACTTGCTGCCTGGGACCCGGGCACAGGGGTTCTAGTCCCTGCACTGCCACTTGCTGACTCCGTGGCATGACCAAGTCCCTTCCTTTTTGGGCCTCATGTTCTTCAAAGTCAAGGTGAAGATTTGGACTAGATGAGCCCTGTGGAGTCGCCGCTAGTCAACTTCCCTCTCTCATTTTCCCATAGCAACAGAAACTCGAGTTTTCCTCCAGGCATGTGGCCACCTAGAATAAAGGTTATCTTTTCCAGATTTCCCTATAGCTAATGTGTGGTCACGTAGCAAACTTCTGCCCAATGAAACTAAGGCAAAAATGTTGTGTGATACCTTCTAGGAAGCCTTCTCAGGAGCCAGGTGACAGGTGCCCTTTGCCCTTGTTTTTTTGTGCCATCCTCCACCTTGATCCATGGGATGTGAAGGCAGTGGCTGGAGCTCTGGCAGCCCTACTTGACTGTGAGGTTGAAGGACCCACTGTGGGGATGATGGAGTGGGGAGCGAGCAGGGGTCTGCATTGTTAACCGGTTTGTGGAGCCTCCAGGCCAGCCTTGTAGTTTACAGCCCCAGATTTGTTTACTTGAAAGAGAATAAACTTTTTGTTTTGTTTAAGACACTGCTCATTTAATTTTTCTGTTACTTATCATCAAATCTAATCTTTCTTGATATAATCTCTAAAAATCTCTTCCAGGTGTACTATTCCAAGGTTGTGACACTAGGTTGTGAACAAACTCTTTGTCTTATTTAAACCACTGTTAGTTTTATTTTTCTGTGGCTTATTGTCAAATTGAATCCTTCCTGGTACAAGCTCTAAAGCCTTTTCCAGGTGTGCTGTTCTGAGCTTGTGGCATTAGGGGAATTCTTTGGGTAGACATTCCCTGTGGTCGGCAGAATAACAGCCTCCCAAAGATGTCCACATCCCAATTCCTGTAACCCGTGAGTGCGCCACATTGCATGGGAAAGGGGATTAAGGTTGCAGATGGAATTAAGGCTGCTAATCAGCGGACTGTAAGAGAGGGAGATTATCCTGGATTATCTGGGTGGGCACGTGGTAATCCCCAGGGCCCTTAGGTGTGAGGGGGGAAGCAGGAGAATCACGAGAAGGACTCTGTTCAACAACTCTGGCTTTAAAGATAGAGGAAGTGGCTACAGGCCAGGGAAGGAGGCAGCCTGTAGGAGCTAGAAATGGCCAGCAAGTAGATTCTTCCAAGAGCCTCCGGAAGGAATGCAGCCCTGCCCACACCTTGGTTCTAGCCCAGTGAGACCCAGGTTAGACTTCCAACATCCAGAACCATCAGATAATAGGTTTTTGTTGTTTTAAGCACTAAGTTCGTGTAATTTATTACAGCAGCAATAGGAAACATACACTCCCACTGGTATATAATGGGTAAAATGAGAATCCTAACACCCATGTTACAGAGTGCAGTGCAGCCAGGGAAGGTGACAGACACATGGTCCTCAGCCCAGGGCCCAGCACACAGGAGACTCTCAAACAGTAGCTCTCGGGGAAAATCACTCTTTCTTCTTATATCTCTGGTCACCTCATTTAACCTTAAATGATAATGTTAGCTGAAATGGGCTGGGTGCAGTGGCTCACGCCCTGTAATCCCAGCACTTTGGGAGATGGAGGTGAGAGGATCGATTGAGCCCAGAAATTTGAGACCAGGCTTGACAACACAGCAAGGTCCCATCTCTTAAAAAAAAAATTAGCTCAGTGTGGTAGTGCACACTTGTAGTCCCAGCTACTCATGATGCTGAGGTGGGAGGATTGCTTGAACCCAACAGTTTGAGGCTGCAGTGAGCCATGATTGCACCACTGCATTACAGCCTGGGCGACAGAGTGAGACCCTGTCTCAAAAAAAAAAAAAAAAAAAAAGTAGCTGAAATGAAATGGACTGATAGAGGTGCTGGGACTGAACTAGTGGCTTTCCCAGATCTATGCACTCTGAATTTATTTGGTGCCTGGGAAGAAGGTGGTTATCCTCATGGTAGAGGCAAAGAAACAGGCCCAGCCCGCCAGTGGCAGGGGTGGGATTTAGATCCTCATCTGCCAGAACCTGCTGGCCATGCTCTGAAGCCTTGCTTCTCAAACTGTGGTCTGCAGACCTGTGGCATCAGCCTCACCTGAGCACCAGAAATGGAGTCTCAGCCCCCACCTGGAGCCCCAAATCAGTATCCATCTCAGCAATATCCCCAGGTGATCTGTGTACACATTAAAGTTTTGAGGGTGCTGCTCTAGACCAAGTGCTCCACTCTCTCCTTGACCTCATCCTTTTGGGGACAGTCTTGGGTGATTTCATTTTCTTCATCTGTTTTGGGCCTATCTCCTTTGTTCTACTGTTGGCGAACTCTTATTCGTCCTGCAGAACCCACTGCAGAGGGCCTTTAGGACCTCTTTCCTGACCTCCTCAAATAAAGTTGCTCTCTTTTCTCGCCTTTACTTGTGCCTTCATCAAGTCCCTGAGCTCACTGGTAACGGTTTTGATACCTGCCTGTCTATTCTAGGCTTTGGTCTCCTTCAGAGCAGGGGCGTGTCTTCTGACACCCAAAAAACATTTACTAAGCACCTACTGTGTGCCAGGCACTGCTCTCAGTCCCTGGGCTATGGCAGGTAAATAACACAGACAAGGACCCTGGTCTCATGGAACTCACATTCCAATTAGAAATAATACATACAGTAGACAAACAAATTCAGAGAACGTAAAATCCAACGAAGAAAATAAAATCGGCAAGAGAGACTGGGAAGAGGAAGGGCAGACTCCCCTCGGCAGCTGATTTGTTTCTGTGATCTGTGAACTAGCACAGAGTCTGGCTTACATTAAACATTCAAAAATTATCAAGTTAATTCAGGTCTGACCATTCTTTGAGATTCAAACGACAGGTCTTTAAGTTAATATTCTTTCTGGGCAATTACTGGACAATTTTTCCTACCCAGAAAATGGAAATTTCTCTCTTCTCCATGAAGCTTTCCAAGGTAGAAATGAGAAGTAGTAAATCTCTCGGTCCTGCAGCAGGTCTCCCTCCCATCTCTCTGCAGCCAGCACCAACAGCGTGGCCTGTCGCCTTGGCACCTGGCATTCAGTTATTGAATAAAGCATGCCACGTGGCTGGCCACCACAACAGGGCATGCTTCCCGAACTGGGGTCAAGGTCAGAAAATGTCAGCCTCTGAAAGGAAGCTGCCAGGGTGACCTAAAATGGGTGAGCGTCTCTCTCTTTAAAAGCAACAACTCACCCTGGGGACGTTCTTTAAAAGGGAGTAGATGAGGCTAGCCTTCCACCTGAATCTTATCAACAGGCCCTGCTCAGGAATGTGGGATATTTATGCATTTATTTACAGATGCACGGCTTTCTTCCCTCTGTCTCTGTGAGCTGCTACGCCCTGTCTGCGCTGGTGTCATTTTAGTTCTGTCTTCAGCTGTCAAAAGACAAAGACTCTACCTCTAATTTGCCATAGGCGTAGAGGAGGATTTGCAAACTTCGACGCCTACAGAGGCCGGGAAACGGCCACGCACGGTGGAGCGGAGCAGCCATGTAAGCCACGTAAGACACTCGGGAGCAGTGGGGACTCAGGGGGAAGTGCGAGGCACCTGCCGCACGGAAGAGACATCTGCTGCCCAGCTCTTGCTGATGGCTGCCAAGCAGGGATAGGGCCCAGGGTTACAAAAATCTTTTTTTTTCCCCCCAAGGAACCAAAAATGTGGATTTTTATGGGAAAGTTTTCAATTTGTAGAACATTTGAGGGCCAAGCACAACTCGCTTGCCAATCACCCTTTGCAACTGCTAGCGTCATAAATAATAAACACACCACTGGTAATGACAGCACCCGACATTTGTCAAGTGCTCACTGTGTGCCGGCACCTCGGTAAGCACTCTACGTGGAGCATCCCACCAAAATTTCACAAGCAATTCAGGAGGGAGACAAAATGATTATCCCCATTTTACACGTGAAAAATAGACTTAGGCTATATTTCTTGTCCAAGGGAACATAGCTCATAAGTGACAGGGGTGGGATTTGAACCCAGGCTGTCAGATGTGAGCTGACATGAACTCCAGGCCTCACTGGGAAAGAATGCATCCTGATGATGATGATGATGATGACGATGATGGGAAAAATCTGAGATTAAATAGGCATCCTAATCCCAGATGTCAAGCTTTGTGCTATGTCTTTTTTCTATATTCACTCACTCATTCATTCAACAAACATTGAGCAATCTCACCGTATAATCATTGCTTTGTGATGGGGCCTCTGCCCAATCTCATCCCTCATTACTAACACCTTCCCCTATCTCCTCTCCCATACCTTGTTCTCCCGCAATAGTATAAACCTCAAGTGGTCCCCTAAACACTTCATGCTTGTTCACACCTCTTCCTAGGACAGCACCTGGCAATGGTAGTAACTTGGTAAATTTTGTTGAAGAAATAGATGAGGGAACTCATGATCTAGAGGAAGACACAGGAATGGAAACAAGCAACATAAAAGATATTAGATGCTGGGATCTGGAGGAAGCAGACCCCAGGTGGGAGGGAGCAGGGTGGGAGGCAGCAGAGAGAGGTGACAACTTCACTAAGTCCTGGAGACAAAGTAGGATGTGGCTGGGAAAGGGGCCTTTGGGCAGAAGGCAGGGGGAGAGGGAGTATCTGTATTCACTTCCGCACCTTCACAAACTGCAAGGAGACTGATGTCCTTGCATTTTGAGGGAACTTCTGTTTTCAAAGCAGTGAGGAAATCTGGCAGTCCCTTCACTATTCCCCCACCCTGCCCTGGATAAGCTCAAAATGCTGAAGACTTCATCATGCAAGGGAGTACAAACAGCATTTCTGTTCAGCATTGCCCTCAACATCTGAAAGAAGTTTATTTATAGACTTGGGAGCCAAGAGAAAATGGAAGATATAATTAGTGTCATAGAAGGCTGTACACAGGTTTTGGGGTTGGACAGGCTTGGGTTGGAATCCCAGCTCTGCCATTTGCTGTGTGACCTGGGGCAAGTTACTTAACATCTCTGAGCCTCTTAAGATGGAGTTAATGGGTATCACAGCACATATCTTCAGAATTGTGAAGATTAAATAAGAGCCTCTGGAGAGCATCTAAAACAGTGCTTAGCACAAAGGAAACACTCAACGAATGACTACCTATTATTATTATTGTTACTATTAGTATTGAAGTGATGGCAGAACCGTTGTTTTTCAGGATTACCTACTCTGCAAACATGGTGGAGGAAAATGGAGACAAGAGCTATCAACACTAGCGAAAATTCAGGAAGGAGAAAGGATAACATGTATCCCTTATCAGAGATAGAGAGATCCAGGTTGGGGGAAAATATGATAGAAAAAAGTGCATACATCCTTTAAGCAGAGAAAATGAGACAGGAGAGCCATGGGGCAAAACTGGGATAAGAATTGGTCTAGGGGTCAGCAGTGGCTGGTCTCCAGTGAGTTTTGCCTGGTGCAAGGTCAGAGAGGCTGGCACTGGGGCATTGAAGTTGCATGATGGAGGGGGTGGCAAGACAACGGGTGGATTCTTCCTACAACGAGGCTCCAGCAACCATGCACCTGGGATCTTGTACCTGATCCCTGGCATGCTTGTTAGCCGAAGGAAGGCTACCCAAGGTCAAAGAAGTTCAGGAGAGAGTGAATGAATATAGTGTCAGTAAGGAAGTGGGACGGCACTCCGCAAAGGCAAACCCAGGGTTGCTAAGTCAGTGCCTCTGGGCCCGGCAGTAACTAACAAGGATTGCAATGGAGAGAAAAGATGACTGCTTCCCAGCAGGCAGTGACTTATCAGCTTTTATGGCAAAGCTGGGGCCCAGGAGGCACCACAGAGGACCTCCCAGGTTGCAGGGGAAACACCTGCTTGTTACCAAGCGTTTTTCAGCATGTGGTTTCAGCCAAGCTTAGGAGAAAAGACTGGTCAATGGATGCCTGGAGTTTTTGTTTAAAAGCCCATCTCCTTCACTAGGTGGGCAACTCCCAGAGGCCAGGCCCCATCTCTTTATTTGTTCATTTGACACCTAGCTCCCAAGCACTTTCTTAGTGCCAGAAATTAGACAAGACTTTGGGGAGATGGTGATGGACAAGGCAGACATGGTCCCTGCCCTCATGGGGCTTCCAGTCTTACAGGGGAACTCAGGTCAGAAACATGCATGTGCTAAAAAAATAAAAATACAAAGTTAAAAAAGAAGCCAGGCGCAGTGGCTCATGCCTATAATCCCAGCACTTTGGAAGGCCGAGGTGGGTGGATCACCTGAGGTCAGGAGTCCAAGACCAGCCTGGCCAACATGGCAAAACCCCGTCTCTACTAAAAATACAAAAATTAGATAAGCATGGTGGTGTGCGCCTGTAATCCCAGCTACTCGGGAGGCTGAGGCATAAGAATTGCTTTAACCCAGCAGACGGAGGCTGCAGTGAGCCAAGATTGCACCACTGCACTCCAGCCTGGGGAACAGAGCGAGACTCTGTCTAAAAAAAAGAAAAAAGGGGACAGGACTTGGGGGGCTACTGTAGACAGGGTGGTCAGGAAGCCTCCTTGAGAAGGTGATATTTGAATAGAGACTTTCTGTAGCCACATATTTGTAATGGGAGGGACTAGCACATAGTATGTGTTCAGTCATGCTTGTTATGCTGGGAAGTGAGAAGAGAAGGGGAGACTGGACGTCCCTCTATTGTACATCACTTACAATCTCCCTTCTCCCCTTTACTCTCTGTTTACTATGACTAACTTAGTGCAAGTCACCTGGTCACTGCAACCACCTTCTCACCTGCTCAGCAAGTCTCATCAGCCCTGACCCACTCCTCATCCCATCCATTAAGCCCTCAACAACCAGTGACCTAGACAGTGGAAAAGCCAGTTGTGATGATCCTACCTGGCTTCCTACCTTTCTGGGCTTCCCTTTTCTTTCATGCTGAAACACAAATGTCTCTGTGAGGCATTTCTGTGCCTTTGGGGTCACATCTGTGCTGCCTTCCAGCCTCACCCCTTTCTGCTTTCTACCTTCCATGGGACCATTGGCATTGCCAATGCCCAACATATGGGCATCTGTTTCTGCACATGCTGTTCCTGCTGTCTGAAGTGCTCTTTCTTTCCTTAGCTTGCTCACCCATACTCTGCATCCTTGAGAACTCAGTCCTCCCTGGCATCCCTTCCTCCCCAATCCCTGTGCTCCCAGAATCCCCTGTGCGTACATTTCATGCTGTGCAGTTATCATTGTCTGTTCACTGGGGTATCTCCTCTACTAGACTGAATTCCTTGAGGGCACAGATTGAGTCTTTCAACTCTATCCTAGAGTCCCACACAGTACCTGGCAAATACTCGGGAACAGTTGTTGGAAAAGAGCAACCATCACCCTTTTCCTCCTCAAGCAAGTTGCTGGTAAGGCCACATTCTGCTCTATGCTGCTTCCTGAGTCACGGGGCAGGCACCAGCTGCATGCTGGAGAAATCCTCTGGGCTTTCTTAGCACCCTGCCTACGTTTCTCCCTGCAGCAAGATAGCTGACCGTCTTCTTTTGATTCTAAGGCTCGTATTTTAAGTTGCAAGATTTTTGAAATTAGAGTGTATTTTATAATTAATGTGGAACATTAAATTTGTCCCCCTCTCCCCTGAAGGCTGTTTTTGGTAGACAGGTCATTTTACAATTAGCGGTGTCTTAGAACTGAGAGAATATGGAACTGGGAGAATAAAGCCTTTTATGTACCCAGGAGAAAGGACTGGGGGCTGGCTAGGCCATCGCAGCTCACCAGCAATCCCACAGCTAGTGACATGCATTTCCTGGCATTGGGGAGCACAGTTAACATCTCTTATTCCTATTTTCAAAAAATCTGGTGTTATAACTGAGCCTCATTCAAATTGCAGCTGAAATCCTCGATAATTCTAACTGATTGTAAAATATGCCAAGAATCTCTCTGAATTTGTGGGAGGGTAATAAGGAGAGGTGGCACTAGGGTATGGGGCTGTCTCAAATGTTTAGGATGAAACAGAGCCATTTTGCAAGATTCTTATTCTTTAGGGTCCCCTGCTAGGACTCCCCTGGAGGGTCTTGGAAGCAGGCTTAGGAACTTGTTCACCACTGCCTGCCTAGGTTTCACAAAGGGTGGGCACCCACTGTCAACACATTTTTAAATTTTGTTGATTGAAAGTTATTTGAGTCTATTTCTACCCTTCTCTGAACTGTCATGGGTAGCTGAGAAGCCTAAGAAACCACTGTATTCAGATCGGCGTGGAAGCAAAAGCAGCATGGCAAAGCAGGAAAAGAGCCAGGCACAGAGGCTCACTCCTGTACTCCCAGCACTTTGGGAGGCTCAGGTCAGAGGATCACTGGAGGTCAGGAGTTCGAGACCAGCCTGGCAAACATAGTGACACCTCATCTCTACAAGAAACTTAAAAATGAGCCCGGTGTGGTGGTTTGCGCCTGTCTTCTCAGCTACTTCAAAGACTGGGGCGGGAGGATCACTCGAGCCCTCGAGTTCAAGGCTGCAGTGAGCTATGATCATGCCACTGCACTTTAGCCTGGGTGAAAGAGTGAGACTCTGTCTCTTAAAAAAAGAAAGAAAGAAAGGAAGGAAAAAAAGGAAACAGCTGCTCTAATCCTTACAACAACTATAAAGGCAGGTATTTTTATCCCCATTCTGTAGGTGAGTATAAGTCACAGAGACAGAATTGACTAACCCAAGGTCACACAGCTTATAAGCAAGAAGCCAAAAAACATAACAGAACAGTACCCTTTAACAAGACTAACAAAGCCCTTTGGGTCCTGACCACTTCCACTTGCCCCTCCCACCCCATCCAGCATCACCACCCTGCCACTCCCCCACCCCCACCCCTCTCAGTTTCCTATCCACCCTGGCCTTCTCTTGGTACTTGTCTCATTCCTTCCTTGCCTATCTCTGGACATGCTGCCCTCCGATCTGGAATGTCCTTTCTTCCTCTCTTCACCTGGATTAACTCCTATTCATCCTTCAGGTCTTCACTCCCATCTCACCTCCTCAGGGAAGCCTTCCCTGGTTAGCTAGAATCCCAGTATTATGAGCTCACGTCTCATGCATCTCCTGTGAATAGCACTTATCAGAGCTGTAATTTATATACATGTGAGATTATGTGAATTGGGATTCAAATAATGTGAATCGGGGTTCAACAAGGGCAGTGACCCTGAAGGACGCTGCTTCCTATGATGTTCTCACCTCATGGCCTAGTGCTTGGCGCTTTACAGGGGCTCATGAAAGATTTCACCAATAAAATAAATGAGTGAAGGAATTGTCCCATCTATGGCTGCGAACTAACCTGGAAACGTACAATGCCTATTGCGTTTGAATATGGGTTTTTGACCAAAATACTTATATTTGAGGTTAAAAGGAGACATTGCATTTTGATGAAATATTTCTTGCATTATCAGTCTGGATTTATATCTTCTCCTCCCCTCAACCTGAAAGCGAACACTCAAGGGAAGCTCTCCCCCAGGATCTGTGACAGACACTTTAGATGGTGTGGAGGGAGGAATGTGTGGCCAGGATCTATTTAGAGGACTTGCACCCCCGGCGCTTTCTTCTCAGGCATTTGTTTTCTCTCCAAGCACTTTTTGTTTCCATTATCTTTTTTACTATTGTCCTTTATGCGTTCAGTCTCTCTTCCTCTCTCTCTTTCTCTCCATCTCTCTCTCCCTCCTTCCATCCCTCCCTCTTTTCTCTCACTCCTTCCTCTGTATTGAGTTCATTATTTATTTTTTAGAATGTTAAAAAAATTAATGCTTTGGCCACCACAGCTCACCATGCAGGAAGAATAATCCTTCGGCAGTGTGAAGGGACCACCCTTTCTGAACACCCACACTGTAGCAGGCAGTAGTCATGGGTTCATTCATTAACAAGGTAGATTGACTTCTTGCACTGTCATGATTGCTGTGGGCACAGCAGTGAGCAGAACAGATGAAAATCCCTGCCCTCATGGAGCTGACAGTCTAGTGGTGAGAGACAGACACCACATATAATGAGTGGAGGACAGAGCGTGCTACAAGGTGGTAAGTACTCTGTAAAAATAAAACAGCAAAGGGGGATGGATGAGGAGTGCAGGTGGAGGTTGTTGATTGCAATTTCAAATAAGGTGATCTGAGAAAAGGGAGGACAGACATCCATTCATTTAATCCCTAAGCCAGCAACTGCCCTTCGAGGAGGAGATTATGCCTCCTTTTTTTCCAGATAAGGAAGCTGAGGGTTAGAGGGGTTGAGTAACTTGCCCCAGATCACACAAGGCTGCAGTGCAGGAAGTGAACCCAGGTCTGTGTGGCATCAATTCTTTCAACGAGACCACAAAAACTTCATCTGAAAACTTCTGTGAGTTACGTAGGATGTAAATTTGCTATTTTCTGAAAATGCTTGAAAACATAAACCCATGGATCATTTACACTGGGGACAGCTCCAAAATGAAAGGACAAAATAGAGGCACATGGTGAGTTTGGCCTGAAGTTCAGCATTAGAAATTGACTGCTGCATTTCCTTAGACTCAGCTACTCAGCTCACAGGGGGCGTGGACCAGGGCACAGTCGTCGTCACCCTGAAAGGTGCAAAGCAGCTCAAGATGGCAGCTAGGAGGGAGGGGTATGCAGGGGAGTCACTGGGTTGGAACTCAGGCTTCTTGAGATGCTCAGGTTGAGTGCTCAGTGAGGGATGCTCAACAAGACACAGACCAGATGTAACAGTGCTTATTAGTGGATATAAGCGGGAGGCCACCGTGGCTTGGGTCTACTGCCCAGAGCACTCTGGAGGCTTGCAGAGGGCACATGATAGGGGGACAATGTAGCCCGATGAGTCATAAGGGGCCTGGATTCAAGTTCTGGCTCTGCCACTGCCTGCCATGTGACTTTGGTGTGTTGTTCATTCCTGTGTGCCTCATTCAGCTCACCTGGAAAGAGGAAGCAAGGGCAGGGAGTGTGGTGTGAACTGACCAGGACTCCAGGTAGAGGAGCCGGGTTTGGCTAACACGGTGAGAATGGCTAGGAATGCAAGGCCTGGCTGTATGGAAAAGCTGCTGGTTAGAACCCAAGCCTGAGGGAAAGTTGTCAGGGTTCTTTGAATTGGATGGGAGGTTTGTGAAAGAGTAGAAGGTTCTGCTGGAGCTAAACAGGGGTGGGCCATTCTAAGGCCTGCTCTCTGCTCAGAGGTGTCTGTTCTGGGGAATATTAAGATCACAGTGAACTTTGGTATACTTTAGAAGCAGAAAAGGGAAGAAAATCAATTGGATATTTTTTTTCTTTCCTATAGAGGCTGTGTGCATGGATCATTTTTCTTTACCTTTCCTTGAATAATTTGCCTTCACTGTAGCCAATTAGGAGCTGTGCAGCCTCAATGACTGACTCCTTTTGAATTCACTTATCTTATAATAGTGGATTCATGACTCATTATTATTCTTATAAAAAAAGAAGTTCCAGGAAGAACAAACAAATCATTCTGACTTCCGCACCCCCTTCTCTCCCTCTCTCCTTTCTCTCCCTCTCTTCTTCGCCCTCTCTCCCCACTCTCCTCCCTCTTTCTCTCTCTCTCGATCACTTGGTTGTCACATATCCTCATGATGTTTGCATTCATCTCAGTAATTTTAAGAATTTCTGCATCAATCCATTGATAAATATTTCTTATGCGCTTCCTGTGTGCAAAGTACCTAAAGAAAGTCAAATTATCTTGGGAATTATGGAGCAATACTTGCACAGTGTGAAGGCCTGTTAGTACCTTCCAGATTCAGCCCACCCATGCTAGAAGGCAAGCGTGTCTGGGAAAGGCTATTGGCTTTCCTAAAATAAAAGATGAATCCTTTTTTTTTCCTGCAGAATAAGAGAGCCATGGCTGAGCCGAGCGTGGAGCACTGTATCACCTCGCAGGCCATCATGACTTGGAAAAGATTTGGGACCATTGAGAGAGACACTTCTTGCTCAAAGAGAACAAGGATGTAGAGTGGCTGGCAGAGCCCCTGTGAGCAAGCAGCCTGGTGGGGGCAAGAAAGGAGAAGCCACTGATGGATGAGGAGCTCAGATATTCAGCAGAGGGAATTTGACAGCCTGGACAGAGAGTAAGATTTCTGTTCTGCCTCACAGTAAGGCAAAACGGACAGAGGGGGAGAGAAAACACGGAGTCTGCTTCCTCTACAGGCCACATTATGCCCACTGTTGGCTTCACCTCTGAAGGTCTGGAAATCCTTTGGGGGAGCCATGGAGCCAAGACAGAGGGGAGGAAGGCATAGGAGAGAATAAGCACCAAGAGTGAATTTCTTGCTGTCCCTGGAGACGATGTTTCCTTTAGGTGACAACAGAGGCTAATATCCTGAGCAGCAAGCTACCAGGCAGCCTAGAGACACCTTGCTTGAACAAGCTGTTTTCGCATCTTGTTGTAGATTTCATTGAACTCTTCTCTGAGAGGGCCAATTCATCTTTCCATGCAGAGACTCTTAATTCAGCTTTCTTGAAAAGTTCATGAACTTCTGTCTCTCTCCACCTACCTGTATCCACATACACACTGTCATCTCCCACCCACGCTCCTCGAATCCCCCTAAGGACACCAGCCTGCTGGGGATTTCAAGTTCACACACACACACACACACACACACACACACACACACACAGACTTTTCAGTCTGCAGAGGAAGAAAATAAGGGTGGTGGTTTTTTCCCTGGCCCTTCTCCCTCTCCCCCTGTGCCTGTCTCTAACAGGTGGTCATGTATCTTCTCATTCTTCAGCAGACTAGTTAATTTCAAAAGCAGCCTTAGAGGCAAGGACATTTTTTTTTTCTATTCTTATTTTCATCAAGAGGTGAATGAAAATAATCACCTCAGGAGACAAAAAGCCCTAATGAAAACCAGACAGCAAAAGAGATCAGAGGAAGACAGGGTTGTTTTTCATCTGGAGTCATTAGCGGCATCTTAGAAAGAAGATGTGAAATCTGTTCGCAATTTCTCCAGATTGGGCAGAAAACACAGATCAAGTGGTTAAGGGGTGGGGGGTGGGGGGATCTTTTTTGAAAGTCCAATTTTTCACACAAAAGAAACACAAGTTGGGGGAACCTCAAGCACTGACAACTTGATCTCCATAGAGAGCGACCCCATTCTGAGTGCTCATAAAAGCAAGCACACTGACAGCCCCCAAGGACTGTCTACGCCAACTTCCAGAAACAACTGAACTTACAGCCTTTGGAGATCAGTGCAGTCTTTGAAAATAAGAGGCTTACAATCTCCAAACTACTTCCTAAGTCGCCAAGGCCCAACTTCCTAAGGTGGTCCCAGGCCTGCAAAGCTCCAATTGACAGAGGCTTTGGAAATTAAAGGCCCGGTCAAAAGCGGGCCCGGAGCTCCAGCCCTTCCTGCCCTGGCCATGGCTACAAGTGGAAAGGGAGTATCATCCCTGAGGAGAGCCTGGCAGGGCCCCACAGTACTGCCCGGGGGTAGTGAGGCCCCGCTGGGGAGAATGGCCCAACCCACAGTGCCTGTGCGCATCGCACAATCCTTGGGAAGTGTTGCAATTCTAACCCTTTACAGACAACTCAGGGAGAGAGGGAGTGTGCAGCTTGGAGAGAAAGTTAAAGGGGGTGGGCAGCACATTTGGGGGTGTGGACATCAAACAGATGGAATTTTAATCAAAATACTTAAGCCTTTTTAATGCACGAGTGATACAAAGCTACCTCTAGTCTGTTTGCCTTCTGGGAATTACACAATATTTAAAAGATCACAATATTAAGAATTTGGAAATAAAACACAGATTTAGAAAAGTATATTTATGCCAACCCACCCATTTCTGGGTGTATTTATGGTAAAACAATGTCTTGTCTCTCCTCTAGTCTCTTGGCTACCTATCTCCCTCCATCCATCTAACTAAAATCCAAGGAAAGCAAATTGCCACTATGATCATTTCCCTAAAGCGGTCCTCATTCACTTTGCTTTTCTTCTCTTTCGGAATAAAAGTCTGTCATAAATGTTTAATTAAATGGAAGTCTTTCCACTGTTAATGACTAGCTGTATGAAAGGCTTTTCATTTTTTTAAGGAGGGGGCGTGTGTGTGCATGTGTTTAAAACAGTCCCTATTAATTTCTTGATATTGATTTTCTGGCTGGGGAAGAGCATATAGTATTCAGCATAGAGCTCCTCTGCAGAATATGTTAAAGACAGCGGTTTGGATTGAGAAAGGGCACCAAATGCAGTATGCGTCAAATAGACCATCGCTCAATGAAGTCACTTAGCTATTCAAAACATGTTCAGCCATCACTCAACCGTTTGCACCAAGAATGTTGGGAGGGGGGCATGGGATTTGTGCTCTTTCCCAGATGTAATCATTTCCGAAAGTGTGGCTTTTGCTCAGTTTGGGTTAGACCCTGGGGCCACATCAGTTTCTCTCTCACCCATCCATTTCCCTCTCTTCTCCCCCATCTCCTAGTCTCAACTCCCTGCATCACCATCCCATGTCGAGCTTAACAAACAATCCTGCAGTCCTTGCTTCCCGACGCTGCCTCAAACGGCCCCCAGTATTGGTTCATAACAGAAGCAAAACACATAAGCCTCTTTTTTTCCCCCACATGGAAGCATATGTATCTCTCTGTGCACGTCTATCTATGGGTGGCTGTAGCTTGCACACACAGACATATATAGCCATTCAAATGCAGTCCCTCATACTAAAGTCTGTTGCCAAATGCAGGTTGGATGACCCACAGGAGTTTTTTTTTCTGTGCTTATTAATGTGTCCCAGAAGTACATGCCTTCATCCATAGCGTGATCCCCCAGCCTTTACACCGTGGCGGCTCCTGTGCCCACAGCACAGACACACATGCCTCAACACTCCGCAAGATCAAGGCAAAGAGCTGACACCCCCACTCCCCCCTCAACCTCCCCATGCCCTCCCCTCCCTCCCTCCCTGCCTGCCTGCACAATGTCTGATTCTCAAGCCGGCTGCAATGCTGACTCTACTAGCTTCTGGCTGACAGACATGTCACTCTGTGGAAGCCTAACCCGCAAGTGAATTGCTGTTTATTAGAACTTAGGCTTGTTTCCTGTGAGAGACGTATGTATTTTTAGACTTTGTAAACGTTAAAATACACAAATACACACACGCAGCCAGCCACCTCGAGTGATATGTGTGGCTCATAGACATTACGAAATGCTCTTGAACTCAGCTTGAGATCCTGGAATAATTAGGATTTACCAAATAAGGATTCTTAGAAACAACATATTCTTTTTTAAATAAGGAGATTTGCAGATGGTGGTGTGTCTAGGACTTTTGGGGAGTAAGGAGAAGAGGAGGGAAAAGGGAAGAGCATTTTTGAATTCTTCATTGCGAAAAGAGAAACAGCATACACAGAAGCAATTATTTTACCCTCTCATAGATGGCAATGCTAAATCGGATGGTAAATCCTAATGACTCCAAAGCAGGCAGAACACCTTTGACTTTTAGAGACAATCTCTTGTCGTTTTCACCATGTCATAGATTATTCCAATGAGGATGTTTGAGGGGATGAGGGGGTGGCGGAGGCGAGGGAGTAGAGTATGGGTTTTGCTTATTGATTTTCTTTCCTCTGAAACTAACCCAACCAACCTTGATTGGTGGTGGAAGGAGTGAACTAAGAAAATGGTGGAATGTAAAGGGGACTTATTTGGAGGAGGGTGGGGAGGGGGGAGTGAAAGGGGAGGGGTGGGGTGGAGAGGGGGGAGGAGATGGGAAGTCAAGTACCTTCTAGGCAGCAGGTTCTCCATAATCCGGAATGGGTCATAACTTCCTCGTTCTTTTTGCTGGTTTCATTCTCACTGACACTTTTGGTCTTGCAAACCCCTCTGGAGTAGAGCCAATAGTCGGTTCCCACAGCTATGGTCATCAGGCTGAAGGCAGCGAAAGCACCAACGGTGGTTAAAAGCATTTGAACACCTCGATCAAACAGCCCCATAATTCTTCATTATATAAACACCCAACCGACTTCTGGTTCTCGGGAGAGTGTGTGTGAGGGTGCAAGTACTAAAGCCAAAAAAAATAAATAAAAATAAAAATTATTCCACTACTAATATAATGGATATATGTATGAATAGAGAATATGGAGAGTTATAAAAAAAGGGAGGTAAGAAAGCTCACGGAAAAGAGTGTAAATTATAAAGATCACACGGGAAGAGGCTTGCCTTTTGAGATCAGAAACTGTTCCAGTTGCAGTGTTTTTTTTTTAAAAAGAAAAGGAAAAAAAAAATAAAAAGACACCCCCCACCCCCCCAAGTGAGATGCCTTAATCTCTTTTTCTAAAATTCTGGTCTCCAGTTTCCATATGTGATAGTTAATTTGGAGATGGCTTCCACAGTGAACCAGGGAACAGCCGAATTCTCAACACCATTTCTCATGGTCGGGACCTAGACAGTTAGAGACTGTGAGAGCCGAGATGCAACCTTCGGTCTTCGTTCTCGGCTCTGCGGCCTGCGCCATGAAAATCCTTTGCTTCGCCAGTTCTCTTCCTTGGGGGGTCTCGGCGCTTTCGTTTCAGACCAGACTTCCCAGTATTCTGTAAGCCCTTGAGCTCAGCTGCACAGGTGCGGGGGTCTCGCTTTCCATGGTTTTGCCCGGGCAGCGGCGGCGGCGGCGGCGGCGGCGGCAGGGCGGGCAGGCGCGGCGGCGGCGGCGGCAGCAGGACGAGCAGCGGCGGCGGTTATTGTTGTTGGTGGCGGGGGTAGTGTTGGCGAAGTGGGGGAGAGAGGGGGTTTCTCCTGGAGAATCGAGGCGGATTTCCCTCCCCCTATCTGCAAAGCTCCTGGAAACGAGGGAGCCGGCGTCTTGCTGCAGGGTGGGCCGCGCGCCTGCCCCCCACTCGCTACCGGCTGGGCGCCCGCGGAGGCGCTCCCACCTACTGCATTACGGGTGGTGCTGAACCGGACAGCTCCCTGCGCCGCCCGCTCCGCGCGCTCCCCGGCTGGCTCCCAGGGCCGCCCGCCAGGAGGGGGGCGCTGGCCAGAGTCCTCCCTCCCCGGGGCAGCAAGGCCAGCGCAGAGCGGGGGCCGCCTTTCCTCTTTTTACCCCTCTCCCAAATCCTAAAATGAGCGCTCTCCTGGGCTCCCGGAGCTTAGAGGAAGGCGTAGCTAGAGATAGCTCGCGCTCTCTCTCTCTCTCTCTCTCTCTCTCTCTCTCTCTCTCTTTCTCTCTCTCTCTCTCTCTCTCTCTCCCCCCTTCCCTCCCCCCTTGGTGTTTCTTCCAGCTCAGCCTCCTTCTCATTCCATCTCTACGTGCCCAGAGCTTCAAATACAACCCTCCCATCACAGTCAGACGGGCACAAAACTTCAACCAGCCGTTTCTCTGCCTGGAAGCGGCGAACATGTAACCTGGACGGGTAATTACAAACACGTCTTTATGTGTTTTTTAAATCATTGTTTTCACTTTGCTTTGCTGGGGATTTGTTTTATTTTGTTGGTCCGTTAGATGTATCTTCTTTCGGTTTTCCTCTCTCTTCTCTTTGTCTCTCTCTGGCTTACCAGGGGGTGTGCATTGCTCTGTGTCTCTCTGTAGTTTTCCGTGAAATTCCAAATCTTGCTTCTACAAGCAGACATTTTGGGAAGATTATTCGTGGAAAAGGGTGCAAAAGGGCGACTCGTAGCTGGGGCTTGGGCAATGATTTTCATTGCAAGGATAAACATGTTCTCAGGGGAAGTGGGTGAAATGTGAATCCTTCTAAGTATCCTATGTCATTCATAAACTGGTTGGGAAGAGATAAAAAATCTTCCTTCCATGAACACTGGAACACCGAAACCCTCCCCTCTTTCTCAGAAGAATCATTGTTTGTGGGTTAATTACAGTGTCACCTTTCATTTCTCTTATGTGCAACTTTTCCTTAACGTGACCTCTGGTAGAAAGAAGCACATTAATTCCTGCTGCTACGGATTACATTTTTTTCTCTGATCACTTTTATGGTTAAGTGAGTAAGAGCACATGAGGCATGAGATGGGTTCATGTTTTTGATATTTTGTGTGTGTGTGTGTTGCGGGGGGGACCCTGGAGAGGATGTGAGTATGATGAGTCTATTGAGGCAGGGGGAGTTGAGAGGTTTCAATCCCATAATTCAATTATTCAGTACTTTCTTCTCTCTCCCTCTACTTTTTTTCTTGAGATTATTTGCTTGACATCTTTCTCAGTGGTCTGGTGATTATCAGAGGTATATAAAAGATGAGTGAATTAAAAACAGTCTTTCTTTGGTGTAAAGTCCATTGCCTAACTTCCTTCGCTCAGGTCAGAGTTGGTCTGCAGGTATGACCAGTGTATTTTTTTTGACATAGAAAAACTACCTGTTTCTTCGCCCAGCACAAAACTTCCTTTCTCCCACTCTGTTCTTTTCTTAGAAGGGAAAGGCTCCCATGAGGGGCAATTGCTGTGCTTCTGGTATCTGGGAGAGGGTCCTGGTGTCTGGAGAACAGAACCAAGATTTCCTCAACCTCTGCTAAGGTACCTTTGGGGTACAGCAAGAGCTATATTTGCAGGCTGAAGACTTCTCCACTTTGGTTTCTTGTCCTGTGAAGATGGGGATGGGTACAGGAATGGAGAGGGCTAATCTGCTGATCCCATACAGCAGGGAACCTAGCAAGTTCAGCCAGTGGCTCAGGTGGCTGATTTTCTTCTGTCCTTGAAGCAAAGGTGAGGGGCAGGCAACAAGTCCTCCTCTGAGATAGGCTAAGCTTTTGGGGGGAGTGGAGAGAAGGTTGGGGGTAGTCACATGAGCCAAAGAGCCTTGCCCTCACTTATTGCTGTCACCTTGGTTGTCTTTGACCTGTCCAAAAATCCCTTTAGACTGCAGATAGAGCCATTCTTCTCATCTCTCTCCCCCTTTCAGACCAACCCCTGAAGGTTTTGCTCAAAAGAAATCAGTAACAGAGGCTCAGAAGCTTCTGTTTGTCCACAGAATCTGCTAACATCTTAGCCACTGACAACGGCTGCAGCTTTAGCAGCATTTGATTAATCTTCTGGCCAGATGATCATTGAGAAAAGGGAAAGGGGTGGGGGAGGAAAGCAACAGCTTTTAGGCTGCCAGCATGGACAGTGCAGAGACTACTGGAGACAGAATGGGCCTGGGGCACAGCTTGACTCTGCTACTCAGTAATGGCATAGCTCCAAACAAGTTAAGTTCCTAGAGCCTCAGTCTTACCATATGTTAAATGGGCAGTTTAGCACCTACCTGTTCCTTTCTGAAGTTCTTCCCAGCTACTGCCAAGCCACCTATCCTATTCAGACCTCCACCATCGCACGTATAGCTCATAATTGTGTATGTGTTGTCTCTTTCACTTATTTGAAACCTCTTTGAGGTCAACAGCTGTGTCTTGTTCACTGTTATATCTTTGGGACCTGGAGTATAGCTTTATATATAGTAGATACTTGATGAACAATGGCTGGAGTGATCACAGTAAGGATTAAATTGTAGACGTGAAGTGCCTGACACATAGTATGCACTCAATAAGTGTGGGTTTTCTCTCATTTCTCCTCCCCTCTTTTACATCCAAATTGGCCTCCTCCTCCTTCTCCTCCTCCTCCTCTCCTCCTCCTCCTCCTCCTTCTTCTTCTCCTTCTTCTTTTTCTTCCTCTTCTTCTTCTTCTTCTTCTTCTTCTTCTTCTTCTTTCTTCCTCTTCTTCCTCTTCTTCCTCATGGGGTCTCCTTGTATCACCCAGGCTGGAGTGCAGTGGCATGATCTTGGCTCACCCACACCCTCGCCTCCTGGGTTCAAGTGATTCTCCTGTCTCAGCCTCCCGAGTGACTGGGATTACAGGTGCCTGCCACCTTGCCCAGCCAATTTTTGGAATTTTTAGTACAGCCAGGATTTCACCATGTTGGCTAGGCTGGTCTTGAAGTCCTGACCTCAGTCCTGACCTCAGTCAGCCCTCCTTGGACTCCCAAAATGGGCTGGGATTACAGGCGTGAGCCACCGTGCCCGGCCTCCAGCCTCTGTTTCTATATGGTTCCTGTACCACACCCCTCCCCTTCCCAACCTAGTTCTTCTCCTTAGGTCCCTTCTGCTCACCATGCAAGGCTACCTGGGAAGAGCTGGCTTGGTACAAGCCCTGTTGAATGGTTGGGACACACCAGGCATACTTAGTACTTAGTAGCTGCTAAATGGATGCTCTTAGGGGAGCAGCTTTGTATGCCTGCATTTGGTTACTTGGGAAGGGCTTAGAGGAAATTAGCTGAAATGCCACAGACCTATTTTGAGCTGCTTCTTTGATGTAGTGAAAATAACGTGGGATTTTAGTGCAGCAGACCTGGCCTTGAAGCACAAGGTTGCCATTTCCTCACATTTGACCTTGGACAGTCATTTAACCTCTCTGAAATTTGTCTCTTCATCTGTCTAGGAGGACCACAGATACGAGCATTATGGTGTGATTGTCAGTGTTACATGTTAATAGCATGTGAAAAGCTAACATTTGATGGGCATTTGCTATGTGCCAGGAACTGACCTAAGCTAAATCCCACAATGATCCTATGAGGTAGGTGCCATCATTATTCCCATTTTACAGATGAGGAAAACTGAGTCACATAATGGTTTAAGTATTTGGCATAAGGTTCCCCAGACAGTAAGTGGCAGAGCTGGGAGTCTAGTCCAGCAGCTTGGCTTGAGAGCCTCTGTCTTAACTGCTGTGTCTTGACCCAAGATATGAGCTTTCTGAGTAATGGTATTGCACTGAGGCTATTTACTCCTCATCCACAGATTTGCCAGGCATTTGTGGAGTAACTCCTAGGAGCCAGGCATTTTCACACAGATTCTCACACATAACTCCCCAACAATCCTGCAAATGCATATTAATAACTTTTCCTATAGGGAGAGTAAACAGAGGCTCAGAGAGGTCATCTATCAAGTTGCAAGGTCATATTTCAAGTAAATGTAACAGCAGATATTTGAACACTTTGCACTGCTTCAAGTTCTACTTCCTACAGGTCCAGAGTTTATTCATTCAAAGAATTGAGCACCCACTGTGTGTGACATACCATGCTAATTCCTAGTGATGGTGATCAGGACAAACGTAGTCCCTGCATCCAAGAACCTACAGACAAGCAGGAGGAGTATACAGATGAAGAACGACCACATCGAAGTAAAGAAAATAATACAAAGGATATTGTGAGGCCATGGGGCAGGGAGACCAAACTCAACCTTAGGGGCTGAAGGACATCTTCCCTGAGGACAGGATATTTAAACTGACATGTAGGAATGAGAAAGAGGTACCTAGGCCAAGCTGGGGGTGGTTAGAGGGTGCAAGGGAAGCTGAGAAGAGGAACATTTCAGGCTGGGAGAGTAGTTTGTGCAAAGGTTCAGAAGTGTGAGTAAGATGATTGGCCAGTTTTGGGGGAAAAATACTAAGCATGGCCGATCCTAAGACAATGATAGGAAATGTGTTAGGCCAAGCACCTGGAGACCATGGAGGGGAGGTTGGAGGATGAGCAACAACCTGGAAGAAGCTGGTGGGATATGGAAGGAGAGAACCAACCCTGGAGGCAGGAAGACACTGGGAGACAGGAAGGCAATTGCTGCTGAGCTCTAAGCAAGAAGTGATGGTGGCTTGGACCACCACAATGGCAATGGGATGGGGAAAAGTGAAGGTAATCGGGGTATTTGGGAAGAAATTGATGACTACTGGTGTCCATTACTAAGATGGGCAACTGTGAGGCAGGAGCAGGTTGGGGTGTGTGTGTGGGGCAGGGGATGATGCAGGAAGGTGGGGAAAGCCAAGAATTCTGCTTTGGCCGTGTATCTAGTTTTGCTACGTTCTATTACCTCTTCACTCCCTGCTCCCAGCCTATATCTTCTTGGCAAGTGAATTAATTAATTAGCAATGTAAAGAACTCATGAAAGAAGAGATTTGGGCTGTTCACATTGTATTTCCAACACTTGGAACACAGCCTAGCACACAGTAGGTGTTCAATCAAAATGAATATTTTTCTTGCTATAAAATTTCAAATGCATGTCTTCTCTGTGTCAGGCCCTGTGCTGAGGTACAAGGGATGAAGATGGGATTAAAATATCATAATCAGGGAGGATTGGAAAGTACATAGCTGACCCAGGGCATGCCAACCAGCCTGGGAGAGGAGTGGGTGTCTGGCATTCCCCACTGCGTGTGCCCACAGTCCCTGTGTTCATCCTCTTGTGGCACTTCCATGTTTTGAGTTGCTGTTTTGTGTCTGAACTCGTCTGGCGCATCAGTTCTCACAGCTGTCGGTTCCCACAGCTAAGCAAGCCTGCTCTGCTCTCTAGGGCTACAGAGCCAGTACGTAGTAGGTCTGCAATGCTTATTTGATGAATAAATGAACATAATGAAGGCAAGGGCTGTGGAAGTCCAGGGCAGGAAGCATTCATTTCTGTCTTGCAGTGTCTCAGAAGGCTTTGGGGATAAGCTGACCCTCAAAGACCAGGAGAAAAGATCACAACTGGTGAAGGAACAGAGGAGGGCATTCCAAGCATGGCAATCACACATACAAGTGCAAAGAGGCATGAAGCCGCACGAGGGACTTCAAGGAGGTTGGTGTGACTGATGGGGGTGGACAGGAAAGCTGGGGCCCAATCCAGAGAGACTGCTGTGCTTGGGGTTAGGGACCATCCATCGGCATTGCTGTCCTGGGGGCCCTCGTCTTGCCATAAGCAAACTGGGAAGAGAACAGGCTGTGCCATCAGAAGGCCCTCGGTTTGAATCTCAGCTCTCTGCAGCTTATGCTTCATGACCTTAGGCAGCGATTTAACCCCTCTGAGCCTCAGCTCTTCCTCACTTGTAAATAGGGACCTAGTTTGTTCTTCTTGTAGGCCCTTTGCACTTGCTGCCTCCCCTGCAGGAATGTTTGTTCAGGTCTTAGCTTCCATATCACCTCCAGGGCAGCAGTGCTGGTCACTCTGGATGACACTGGCCTGCTTTGCTTTCATGATCACAGCCTCACATTCTCTTGTTTATCATCTGAAATCTCTTCCTGCCCACCCACCTCCCCCAGGACATCAGATGATATCTATCTTGTTCATTGCAGTATCCCCAGTGCCTAGAAAGTGCCTGGAACAGCATAAATGCTCAGGGAATATTTTTTGAATGTATGAATAAGGTTATGGTTGTTAGGATTAAGCAAGGGAAACCCTATTTACGTATTTGGAAGATAGGAGAAGCAGGTCTCTAGAAGCCCCTGAATGTTAGTGGGTGAGTGGAACTTGGGGAAATGAGGGTACCCTGAGTTGATGATGGGGTGTGTGCAGGAGTGAGGCAGAGTGAGGGTCAGACTTGACCTCCCCTGGGGGAGTGGCACTGGCCTGGTGCCACCCTCGCTTCTCCCCCAGGGCCTGCTCTTCTCTCTCGGGCCACAGAGTTGCTCAGCCCCATGCTGGAGCACCCACTGCAGAAAGGTCTAGATGGGGCTGTTGGCCCCGGGGCTGGGAGGGAAGGAGATGTAATGAGATGGCAGGTTTTACTCCTTACATCTGGGAACTGCCCAGAAAACCTCAGGGAGCCCCAGGATCTGATGCCAAAGGAGGCTGGGGTGGTGGGCAGAGCAGGGCTGACCAAGCTTAGAAAGTGGGATGTGTTGAAGGGGAGTGGTTAGCTCTGAGCCTGGTAAAAACAGAAAGCAGAAACCCTGGGTATAGCCATGTCCAGAACAAGAATCCCCACAGAGAAGTCACTTTCCCACCCAGGACAGGACTGTCACCCCCAAGAGAGTCCTGAGCCACCAAGCACGCTAGCCTTTCAACCCACCACCCCCCGGCTGGTATGAGATTTCCCCCAAAACTAAACTACAGCAAAGAAAATTCTGATAGCAAATTAATCACAAAGTTACAGATTAGAAAAAATGAAATAAAAAATGTGCACATAAAGATGCAGAGGAAGAGCAAGAAGAAGAATATGAGCTGGCCGGGTGTGGTGGCTCACACCTGTAATCCCAGCACTTTGGGAGGCCGAGGCCGGCAGATCACTTGAGGTCAGGAGTTTGAGACCAACCTGGCCAACATGGTGAAACACGATCTCTACTACAAATACAAAAATTAGCCCAGCATGGTGGTGCATGCCTATAATCCCAGCTACTTGGGAGGCTGAGGCAGAGGAATCACTTGAAGCCGGGTGGTGGAGGTTGCAGTGAGCTAAGATTGTGCCACTGCACTCCAGCCTGGGTAACAGAGTGAGGCTCTGTCTCAAAAAAAAAAAAAAAAAAAGATTGTGAGAGAGGCCAGGGCAGGAAGCAGGGCCATTTCCAGCGATTTTTAAAGGAGCGGCTATCCAATAGCGATGGAGACAGTGAGATGCACGCAACCTACTTGGGCAAGCAAGGTGGAGAGGGGACACAGAATGGCCCTGCATGGCCTGGTGACCAGGCTTAGCCCCCTCACAGCCCCACTCTCCTGCCTTCCTCCCTCCAGCCAAATCAGCCTCCCTCTGTCCCTGGATCCTGGTCCCTTGCCCACTCAGGGCCTTGACATCACCGTTTCTCCGCCTGGGCCACGCATCTCTTGGCATCGGGCTCGTGCCCTCTTTCCCACAGGTGTCTGTTCTGAGAGGCCCAACTGACCACCCAATGAAGCCTGTCTCACTCCCCATCATTGCAAACTCTTTATCTGCTGAAGTTTTATCCTTAGCCCTTAGCAGCCACCCTCACCTCCCATAGATTTTTATTTTCTTATTTATAGTGCAAGGATGGGGCCCGGCTATGTTACTGCTTCCCTGCCTTGCACGTGGTATCTGGCACACAGTAAATATGTGTGGCCCAATGTGGCAAATACATGTGGATTGAATGGGAAAACCCCTGGGTCAGCAGGGTGAGAAGCAGAAGCAAAGCAGGAAGAGGAGGAAGGGAAGGGAATGGCCTGGCTGGAGTATCCCAGGAGGGCTGGCCTGGAACTCTGCACAGGGAGGACAATGGGGTCTTTAGGAGAAGACAATGGGTGGCTTCAGAGGTCCCTGGGCAGAGTGGAACCTGGAGAGGTGAAAAGGGAAGAAACGGAGGGGACTTCTTTCCATGTGGATTTCGGCAGATCAAGGAGGAGGTGTCCCCAGGATTGCTGGGGACAGCCATGCAGGCTGGGGAGTGGATCCTGGGGGTCGGGGTCCAGTCTGATGCAGGCCAGCATTGTGGCCTCAAGTGACAACAGCCTGAGGTCTCACTGGCCCTGTCTGGAAAATGGGGGCAGCATCACCTGCCTTGAGGTGCTGTTCTGATAATTAAATAAAATAATGTAGAAAAAGTACTTCCCACGCCTACTCCGTAGTAAGCCCTAAATAAATATTAGCTACATGTTGAGCTCCTACTGGGTGTTATGTGTTTTGAATAAAATACAAAAAAAAGAAAGAAAGAAACAGACGTAGCCCTGCTCAGAAGCAGTCACTCTCAAGTGGAGAGAGACCTGCATGCAGGGCTCAATATAATGTGGGCAACAGGATGGGGAGAGGGCGGAGGGAGGCATGCTAGGGAACACACCCTGTAGTGGACAGACAACGCCACCTGGATATTCAGGAAGGGCTTCCAGGAGCTGGGAGAGCTGCTCTGGGTCTTGAAGGATAAGTGGAAGACTTAGAGGCAGAGAAGGCCAGGGAAAGGTTTTCTAGGCAAAGGGAATAGTAGACCCAACCTATATGGGGCATGAAATAGTTATTCAGCAAAAGTTAGTGCCAAGTGCAGTGGCTCACATCCATAATCCCAGAGCTTTGGGAGGCCGAGGCAGGAGGATTGCTTGGGGCCAGAAATTGGATACTAGCCTGGAAAACAGTGAGACCCCATCTCTACAAAAAAAATTTAAAAATTAGCCAGATGTGGCTCACACCTGGAGTCCCAACTACTGGGGAGGCTGAGGCAGAAGGATCACCTGAGCCCAGGAGTTTGAGGCTGCGGTGAACTATAAGCGTGCCACCACACTTCAGCCTCGACCACAGAGCAAGACCTCATCTCTTAAAAAAACTTTTTTTTTTTTTAAATTAAAAAGTCCCATAAGTTTGTTGAGCACCTAACATCAGTGAATAGGACTGGAGTACTCCCTGCCTCTCGGAACATTAGGAACATACATTCCCAGAAGGCAGCCACTACGTAATTGACTACACAATTGATTGATAGTTTAATTGTAATTGTGGTAAGTGCATGGTGCATTTGTGGGAGCTACAGGTAATTCTATTTCTCCAAAGTGCTAGGAGGGAACTGGCAGAGATCAGCTGGAAAGGGAGGCGGGGCCTGGTCAGGGGGTGCCTTCAATCTAACTTAGTGCCTACTATGTGCTAAGCTCTGTGCAGTGGACACAAAGATAAAACTAAGTCAGTCACCGGCAGGAACCAATGACTGAATGCAGTGTGATCAAGGAGGTCCATGGGGTGGGTCACAGGGACATAGCAGGGAGGGCTTCATAGAGGAGGTGACCTTTCCCCTTCCCCCAGTTGAACAGCAGTCCGACAGCCTGCTGTCCTGCCTTTTAAGGAACAGGGCTTCCCGACCCTGCAGGCTTAAAGAATCATTAGTCACGTCTGAAGCTGGCTCAATAGCAAAGGGTTCTGAGCCTGGTGGAGTTTCTTTTTAGGCGTCTGGTGCAAGTGAAGGAGGTGTTGGTGTCATATTGAGGTACAGACCCAAAGAGCAGTAGGTGAGAGGACCAACAGGCTGCTCCTGTGTCCAAAGGCTCGAGGAATGTTGGCTCTGCCCCATTATCCCAAGCTTGGGACAGGTTATTGTACCTCTCTCTGACTTTTTGCTCATCTGTAAAATGGGTGTGATGGCAGAGTCATGGGGCTGCTTTTGTCATGGGGATTGAATGGGGGTTTCTCCTGCTACGTTTTCATAATGAGTGCTTTGTCTGTGCTGCCAAGTGCACCACCAATTCCATAAATGTGGTTGACCTGGCTCCTTACAGAGGAGGTCAAAATCACCAAGGGTTCTGAACATCTATAAGTTGTGGCCCAACACTATATTCTGAAAACAGGTCTGATTAGGAACACACTGTAATGGGTAGACAAAGACCCCATCTCCTGGACCCTGATGGGTTTTGCGGATTGTCAAGTTCCTCTTTTCCTAAAATAGCTTCCTTTTCAACAACCTGTGGGTGCCCGAGTCCCTCTGTTGGTATCAGTTGGGCTATCTGGTATATTTATGGGTAGTCTTATCTGAGCCAAGTAACCTACTATGTGCTAACACGCCAACTCACTCCATGGGCCTGCTTGGAATTCAGAACCCACTGCCATGCAGACGGACATCGGGGGGCTTCCACAGGTACCCAGGGGTGGATCCCTGGCCCGCAGACTGGGCTAGACTTGCTGTCCTAGCTAGGTTCCTGCACCCTCTTCCCTGGGTCCTCACCTCCTGTCCTGCAAATGCTGTTTCATCATCTCTCCTAAGAAGCCTCAAGTTCTGAACGATGGGGTCCTTGTCCATTGTGGTTGTCATTGTGCCCTTTGTATCTTGCACATGGTTTGGCACAGAACAGGGCCTGAATAAACACAGGTTGTTGATAAATGTGGGGTAGGGGTAAGTTAGAGAGAAGAGGAGGAAATTGATAATAATAGCATATTCTCTCAATGTCAGGAGACCACGTTGACCACCCGGTTTCCATGACACTTGGGGAGTATGGCTGTGTGCTTGGTATACTTGGTGTCATATGAACTCATTTAATCTTTATAGCAAGTCCTCAAGGGAAGTTCTGTGATGGCCCTCAAGAGGCACAGAGAGGGTAAGCAACTTGCCCAAGGTCACACAGCTAATATGTGATACAGTCAAGATTCTAGGCCCTGAGGCTCTAGTACTATAGAGACTCCTATTAATAGATAACCTACTATGTGTTGGGCATTTTCTCCCTTAATGCTATAAAAACCTTGGGAAAACTGAAGCTCAGGGGGCTGACCCTGCCAAGCCAAACAGCCAGCAAATGGCAGAGCTGTAATTTGCACACAGCTCTGCCTGTTGCCAAAGTCCTGCCCAGTACACAATTAGGGCCCCATAGTGGGGAGAGACTCCGCGGGTTAGGTGACTCCCCCACTTCCACTTACTCAGAGTGGCAAGCAGGTGTCTGCTGAGCCCTGGACCTCTTCCCAGCTCCTTGCTGAGCTTCAGGGCTTATGTCTCCGCCTGCTCTTGCTGCTAAGGGAACTATATTTACCTATGGAGGCCAAACTGAGTGGGATAGTGGAAAGAACCTGGGGTCTGGAGCTACATGTTGAGCTCCTACTGCCTCCCCCTCACGGAGCCTCATTTCTTTGTCTGGAAAATAGGAAAAATAATAATGACTCCTCAGTATAGAATTTATGAATTTATATCAAGGACCTAGGACTCTGTGGTACACGAGAATGCTCAAGAAAGGTGTGATATTGTAGCATCTCTCTGCTTAGAACCTTTGATGACGTCTACACACAGCTTGTGAGATTTGACCTTCAATCTCTTCCATCACCTTCCTGCCCTACTCCCACAGAGTTCCAGCTACACTCCTCTTGTTTCTCTCAACAAGCCGGGCCCTTCTGTGCTATGAATTCTCCCATGAAATCATTTTGTCTTTCAACATAGATACATATGTAGATAATCTGCAGAAGGGCATAATCGAGGTGAAGTCATACCTGCTAGTCCCTTTTCAGCCTTGCTTTTTTTCTTTTGCTTGTCTCTTTCCTCTTTATGTATATATCCCTCTCCCATCTCCGTACCCATGTTACAACCGATATATCTCTAGGTGTTCAAGCAATCATAAGCAAAATAGACACGCAGATCGTCTTCACACACAAACACACCTGCGCATATCCAGATGCCACTCACATACAGAGAGCTGGACCATTCTTTTACAGAATGGGATTATACGAGGCACCCTTTCTGTGTCTTGCTTTACTCATTCAAACACCACCACCCGTGGGAATCCCTCCAAGTCAGCCTCTGCAGCTCTAATTCATTCTTTTAATGGCACCATCATTTTTCAAAGTGAGGAACTACTATAATTTCTTCATCCAGTCTTCTATTGACAGACGTTCACTTTATTTCCAATTTTTTTTTCCCTCTGCTATAAGCAGTGCTGCCATAAACCTCCTTGTACATACATCCTTCTAACTGGAGATTTTATTTTGATGGAATAGATTCCCAGGAGGGGGATTGCTCAATTGAAGAGACTATGTATTTTTTATTTTAGTCAATGTTGCCAGATTGCTTTCCAAAAGTGCTGTAACACTTTGCGTTTTCTCCAACAATTCATGAGTGCTTTCCTACTGTTTCCCAGCAGCCATTCCAGCAACAGGTGTTAGCATTATTTTTAATTTTTGCCTGTCTAATAGGGGCAAAGTGAAATCTCAGTTAATGTCCTATACAATAGTGAGTGTGCATATTGTTGTATGTTTGTTGGCCATTTAGATTTGTACTATGTCTTGCCTATTTTTATCCTTTGCCTAACTCCAGTTCTCCTTGTTCATTGCTTATCAGTTTATAACAGCTCTTTGTATATATAGATATTAACATTTTGCTTGATATCTGTGTTGCAAATAGTTTTGTGCTTAAATCTTTTGTTTTTATATCAATGTTGTGAATATCTGTTGCCACAAAAGTAATTTTTATGTAGTAAAATATGTCTTTCTTTAAAAATATGACTCTCTTGGTGTTTTTAAAAATGCTCTGAGATCACCCTTGTCATTTCCTACATTTTCTCCCAAGATATTTATTATTTTAATGTTGGGGGCTGTTAACTCTTTAATCCATCTGGGGTTTATTTATGTGTGTGATTGTAAGAGGAGGTTTCAACTTTCTTACAAAAGCTAGCTGGTTGTGCTGGCATGATTAATAAAACAGTTGCTCCTTTTCCAGCATAATTGAAATACCATCTCTGCCACATATTAAATTCTCATGAATACTTTGATCTAGTTCTGAGCTGTCTGTTCTGTTCCACTGATCTGTGTATCGCTTCCTCACCAGCACCATTCAGATTTGATTATAGGGGCCTTAATATGTTCTGATCTCTAATAAGCCACGTTCTTCCCCCATATTCTTCTCTTTCGCAGGATCTGGTTGTTCCCGGCTCTGCATTCTTCTACATGAACTTTGAGCTGGTTTCATTCAATGGTGCCTTATACCACCCCTGCATCCCAGGGCCTGAGATGGGGCTAGACATTCAGCAGGGGGGCAGGAGATGTTTGTTGAATATAGTTGATGCTCTCATACCTCCCCAGTGCCTCCTAACCCCCACCCCCAGGACTATAAGATATTAAATAGTATTCAAACCAAAGTTAATATGAAAGTGTGTACATAGCAGACAAATCTAACTGAATGGAGGAAGCTTCAGAGGCCTTTAAAGCAAGGAGAGAAGTCGCTCTTGTATTCAACACCTATTTATTGAGCACCTACCATATGCTAGACCTTATTCTAGCGCCTGGGGATATAGCAGAGGCCAAGGGAGACAAAAGTTCAATTTCAAGGTGTGATAATGGTAACGTGTTAATTATTTTTTGGTGAGATAATGATATTGTTGTTATGTTTAAAATAAAGAGCGCTCAGCCAAGTGTGGTGGCTCACGCCTGTAATCTCAGCAGTTTGGGAGGCCATAGCAGGAGGATTGCCTGAGCCCAGGAGTTCAAGACCAGCCTGGGCAATACAATGAGACCCCATCTCTACAAAAATTACAAAAAAAAAAGATATTAGCTGGGCACGGTAGCGTGTACCTCTAATCCCTGCTACTTGTGAGGCTGAGGCAAGAGGATTTCTTGATCCCAGGAGTTTGAGGCTGCAGTGAGCTGTGATCATGCCACTGCACTCCAGCCTGGGCAGTAGAGTGAGACTCTGTCTCTAAAGAATAAATAAAATAAAATGAAGAGTCTTTACCTTTAGAGATACTTCCTGAAATATTTACTGGTAAAACTATGTAAAGTCTGTAATTTGTTTCTAAATAACCTAAAACTGGGGGGAAATGGATGAAAATATAGATGAAACACAATTGACCTTAAATTGGCAATTATGGAAACTCAGCAATGGGTAAATAGGGATTTATTATACAGGCAAGTATCCCTTAAACAAAAAGTGCTTGGGACCAGAAGTGTTTCAAATTCAGAGTTTTCGGATTTTGGAATATTTACATATCATAATGAGGTATCTTGGGGATGGGATCCATCTCAAAACATGAAATTCATTTATGTTTCATATATACCTTATAGACATAGCCCAAAGGTGTTGTTATGCAATATTTAAAATAATTTTGTGCATGAAACAAAGTTCATGTGTTATGAGGTCAGGTGTGGACTTTTCCACTTGTGGCGTCCTGTTGGTGCCCAAAAAGTTTTGGATTTTGGAACATTTTGGATTTCAGATTTTCAGATCAAGAATGCTCCACATCTACTGTTTTCTCTACTTTTGTCTGTATTGGAAATATTCCATGATAAAAAAAAGTTTTAGAAACGCATACAGAGCTTATTATGTTCCAGACATTGTTCTAATTGCCTTACGTCCATTCATTCATCAAATCTTCAAAACAGCCCTAGGAGGAGGGTATTATCATCCCAGTCTTACAGATGAGAAAAGCGAGGCCCCATGAGATCCAGTCACTTGCCCAGGGTTGGTCTCAGTGAGTGAGTGGCAGAGCTCCCTGGCCCCATGGCCTTCCTCTCAAACACCATGTTCTACCGTCTTTCCCATCTCCCACTTATTCTGGTGAGCCTGCAAATGGACAGCTAAATGAGATGGGATTCTTTTTTTTTTTTTTTTTTTTTAGATGGAGTCTCGCTCTGTTGCCCAGGCTGGAGTGTAGTGGTGCCATCCTGGCTCACTGCAACCTCTGACTCCCGGGTTCAAGTGATTCTCCTGCCTCAGCCTCCCGAGTAGCTGGGACTACAGGCACAAGCCACCATGCCCAGCTAATTTTTTGTATTTTGGTAGAGAAGGGGTTTCACCATGCTAGCCAGGATGATCTCAATCTTCTGACCTTGTGATCCGCCTGTCTCAGCCTCCCAAAGTGCTGGGATTACAGGTGTGAGCCACCATGCCCGGCTAAGATGGGATTCTTTCATAAAGTAGGAAGGGCTATGAAAGATACAAAAGATACAAAACAAGGTTATGGGAGAGAGAAAGACTGGTCGTGGGAGAAGGTGAGACTGAGAGTGAAGAGGTGGTGTCCTCTTTTGGGTGAGTGATCAGAGAAGGCCCCTCCAAGGAGCTGAGACCTGCACAGACATCTGAGAGAGATGTTCAGACAGAGAGGCTGGCCAGTGCTGTCTCTGAGCTAGAACCAGAAAGGATCACAGTGGACAAGGATGAAACCTGTTTGGGCACAGCGGCAGGCCCCAGATCTCACTGCAGGCTGTTATGAGGTGTTTTTAGGTTCAAAAAAAAAGTGAACCAAGCCATCTCAGTAAGATCATAATGATTTATTGGATTTATAAGCTCTATGATCATTTAAATACATTTACCTACATTTTGTGGTGCTAAATTCATCTATAACAGAGGAGTAATTTAATTCTGAAGCCACATTAACTGCTCTTTGCCTTCTCGCAAAGTCACCCACTCTTGATTTTTTTTGCATAACTTAATTCAGTTTTTCTGCTCTTGCTACATTTTCTTCAGCTCCTACACATTTTTTGGGAGGTGGTTATAATGTTATTATCTTATTATTAGTCACTAACCGGGAATAATTCACTTTTCCAATTGATCTATGCTGCCTACAAAATGCCATATCAACTGGAAGCACAGTCTGGTTAGTGAGTTTTGAGAGCCAGTTCAGACAGACCACTTTGTGTGACAGGCTTGGCTCAGGCAATGATGACCTCTATGAGCTGAATTTACCTGTGGTCAAACGGTCCCAGTGTTGGAAGAGCATCCACAAGCCAGATTCTCAAGGGTGCGGCAGGGGTACCTGATTGTGTCCAACTCATGTTGTGTGCTGAATATTTTACACAGTTCCTGCTAGTTTGCATTTGTCCTAAATAAATTTCTGACAATGTCAAGTTCAATGGATTCTCTAGATAAAACATCCCTGAGCACCATGTTTCCCTTGAAAGGATGCCCAGCTGCATATGCACATTTGTGGTGTAGCCTTCACACAAACACACTTATTTGGGTAAAGTAGAAGTGTGTATGTGGGAACTAATACATCCTTCTGCCATCGTGACTCAAGCCTGAGGAGTGTTAATTGTGGATGAGTGGGGTTTTGGGGCATAAGCAATTGCCTGGTTCACTTTATGGTAGAATCACCCCGAAGCTGTGTATTGGGAGGAGAGAATGAGGACGGAACATTAGGTGAACTAAAAGGAGAGGCTATAAACTGAAGCTTATTCTTTGGGTAAGAGCAAGCCAAATTTATTCATGAATGGGTGTTCCTGGCCTTTGCTTTCCTGCTGTCATCTAATCAGGTTTTCTTGATTCTTGACTAGGTTTTTGGAAGAACTTAGGGATATAGAATCAAAAAGAAAGGAGGAGAAAGAAATGAACAAGAAGCCCTCTATTTAGGGTTCAGGAGAAGTTTTTCAGGGTGTTAGAGGAAAGGGTGGGAGAACCATAGGGGTGACGAGGGAGACAAGAGGGCATAGAAATTTTAAGAGATATCGCTACAGATATCTCCAATCCGTAGAGTAACCTGGTGGGCTTTGCATGTGGCTTTGACCAGTCATTGGCCCTTCTGGGTCTCCTCATCTCCCCATCTCTCAGAACTTGGACCCCAGGAAGCCAAAGGGCCTTTCTAGTGCTCACATTCAGATGTCAAATGGCATCCTCAAACTATGCTTGGTCCAGGACTCTGGAGAGATCTGGATTCCTATTGACTCAGAAAATTACTCAGTATTATTTTATCTGGTGTAAGCCACATCCCTCTTCTGTGCCTTGATTACTCTATTGGCTCATCAAGGACACTGAAATAAACACAGGGGACTCACAACGTGATATTCATGAAGTTGGGTTTCTTTTTTTCTTTTTTTGAGACAGAATCTTGCTTTGTCTCCCAGACTGGAGTGCAGTGGCGAGGTCATGGCTCACTGCAGCCTCAACCTTCCAGTGTCAAGTGGATCCTCCCTTCTCAACCTACCAACTAGCTGGAACTACAGGCACATGCCACCACGCTCGGCTCATTTTTAATTTTTTTTTTTTTTTTTTTTTTGTAGAGACAGAGTTTTGCCATGTTGCCCAGGCTGGTCTCAAACTCCTGGGCTCAGGCTATCCTCCCACCTCCGCCTCTTGAACTGCTGGGATTATAGGCATGAGCCACCCCGCTCAAACCAAAGTTCTTTTAATAAAGGAATTCCGCAGTGCAGGGTAGACAGCTTCCTTCTATCTCTCATATGTAAACTACCTCCTTTTCTTGCTCTCCTTTTCCCCTGACCCATTGTCTCCTTCTCTCCTCCTCAGGAGGCTGGATGGGGACACATACCATGAGTGACATCTTACCAGAGGGTGGCCATGAACTTCATCATGTTCCACAACTGTTAATGACCACTGGCGCTGGCCCTGCTGCTCTCTGAACTCCTCTCTGTGGAACTGTGCCCCTTCTCTGGGAAGAGTCCTTGAAGCTCTACTGAGAATGAAACCTCTTCTTTCAGCTCATGTCAATCTTGGTATTTTCCCAACATGTTCAGGTTCTGGCTTGGAGGTGCTATCTGTTGTTGACTTTGGACATAAACGAAGCTGTTATTTGCCTCTTTTGGTTTGTTATGTTAACAAGCTTTTGGGATTTGTTCTTTAAGATTCCCCACCCCTATTGTATGATGATAGGTGCTGGAACCAGACTGGTTGGGTTCAAATTTTTGCTGTCGCTAACTTGCTTTGTGAACACATGTCAGTTACTGAATCTCCCCGTGCCTCAGTTTTTTAAATATGTAAACAGGGAGTTCTCGTAGTACCCGTGGGTCTTAGTCAGTTATTGCTATAGAACAAACCACCCCCAGACTTAGTAACATCAACAACAACTATTGTTTTTTTCATTCATGCATCTGGAGAGAGGCTGGGGAGGAGGAGGCTTGGGTTTGGCTTATCTAGGTGGGGCTTGCTAGGCTTGGCTCTGAGCTGTGGATTAAACACAGGTCTTCTCCATTTGTCTTTCATCTTCTTTGGGCCACCGGCTACATAAGGCATGTTCTGATGGCAAAGAGGAGAATTAAAGGGGAAGTCCTATTGGCCAAAGCTGGTCAATGGGAGAGAGAAGCGTACGCCCCTAGGGAGAGACAGAGGGGAGTGAATTTTTGTTGAACAATTATCCTAACTATCACACTGTTGTGATAGTTAAATGATTTAATAACTTTAACAGGCTAATAACAGTACCTGGCATGGAGTAAGTATTCAATAAATAACAAACATTGGTAGTGATAATATCAGTACTAGTGGTAATATTAATATTGGCATTTTTAGTAGTATATGCACACCTCAGGTACTCTTTTCAAAATATACATTCACACTAAAGTGTAAATGTCTGCTGGTATAACACAGACCTCAAATGTGTATGTTTAACAGGAGCAGTTAAGCCAGAGGTGAAGGCATAAAGGTAGATTTTTGAGACTCAGTAAAATCTAATGATGAAGAAAGGGGGTTCTGGAGTAAGTCAAATTTGGATCAAAATGCAAACTCTGCCACTTATTTTGCTGAGTGACCATGGGCCAGTTTCTCACCCTCTCAGTGCCTCATAGGGTAGTGTGAATTTGATAAGCTCTTGTAAGCAAAGCAAGTCAGAAAGCACCTGGCCCCTAGCAAAGTCAATAAACACCCATGGGTAAAAAGGTCAGGAGTGGAGGGAGGAGGTAGCAGAAGCCTCTCATAGAACCCCAAACCTTGCCAGAAGGTGGTGAGCTCACCTCTGTCCATGGGTCTTTCCAGTAAAGGTTCATTAAGCACCTACTATGAGCAGGCATATGCTATGGAACCACAGATTCACTTCTGCTCAATCCACTCATTTCCACAGTTAACTTGCCTCGTAGTTAATCTGGTGGCACGTGAGTTCCGCTGGATCTTAGATATGGTTATCAAAATTAAAATTAAAATGGCCACATGAGGGTTCTGTGGCAAAGCAAGTTTAAGAACCTGCACTAAACAGCCGAACAGGTTCTATGGCTGCGGCACTTCAAGCCTTGCCTAGGCTCCTGTGCCTAAGACTCTCCCAGAGAGCGATGTAGAAGGCAGGCTTCCAGACTTAAGTGACCACAGAACCCAAAAAACTGGAACCTGGCTTTGGGAAACAGTGCTATAATTTCTTAGCATCTCTCCACCCCCATCCCTCCTTGCACTGTCAGCTGCTGGCATTCCTTCCCACCTTGCTGGTCCCCACAGCCCCATTCCTGGTCTCTCCCCTCCCTCAGGAAGTGCAGTAAGGTTTCCCAAGTTTGCATCCTTCACCCGGGTGGCACACTGTCCCCCACACAGGATGAGGGGCTCTGTGCCTGCTATTTTCTGGTTTCTTTCTGTGGGATGTCTTCTTCCTCCCCTGCCTAGCGAATCCTGTTCATCCTCCATGCCTCTGCCCCTGCAGGCAGCCTCCAGCTGTCCTGGTCTGGGATCAAAGCCCCTTTTCAGATCCTTTTGGCCTCCACAGTGTCGCTGTCTCATACCTAATTACTGGTTGGCACCTGTGAGCTTCCTGCTGTCTCCTTCCCCTCCTATTTTGAGTGCTTTGAGGTGGGGGCAGCAGTGCAGTCCCGTGGTTAAGCTTTCTTTCTTTCTTTTTTTTTTGACAGAATCTTGCTCTGTTGCCCAGGCTGGAGTGCAGTGGTGTGATCTCGGCTCACTACAACCTCCATCTCCAGGATTCAAGCGATTCTCCTGACTCTCAGCCTCCTGAGTAGCTGGGATTACAGGTGTGTGCCACCATGCCCGGCTAATTTTTTTGTACTTTTAGTAGAGACGGGGTTTCACCATGTTGGTCAGCCTGGTTTCAAACTCCTGACCTCGTGATCCGCCCGCCTCGGCCTCCCAAAGTGCTGAGATTACAGGTATGAGCCACTGCACCTGGCCAACCCCATGGTTAAGCTTACATGACTGCAGGGGGCTTTAGATCCTGTGTGACTCTGGGCACCTGCATGTGCTTCAGTGTCCTGCTCTGTGAAATGGGAATAACAATTGTAGCACCTCATAGGATGCCATGTGGAGGGAGAAGCAGCCTTTCCCTCCATTTCCTGCTTTCCTTATGTGGGGAGGTGGCAGAATGAAATGGAATGGGCTCAGACCAGGAGCCAGTGTTTGAATGCCGCTGTGAGACAAAGGGCGAGTGACTTCACCTGCTGAAACCTCCGCTTCCTTCTCTGAATGACAGAATGCCTCCATTTCTATTTCTATTGCATGGGGTTGAATTAATAATCTGAGGCTATGCATCTATAGGAGCTGACAGAGTAGGTGCTTAATAAATATTTGTAAAGAAAATATAGACTTGCACTCAGCACCACAGACCTGCGACATGCAACCCACTGGGCTCCCTGAAAGCCTGAGTGGGGAGGCATTTAGAAGGCAGGTGAGTCTATTGCTTCATTTCACAGATGAGAAAACTGATGCCCAGAGACAGTCGGAACTCACCTAAGGGCACACAGCAAGTAGGGGTTAGTAGATCTTAGATAAGAGCCCAGGTCTTCCTGACTTTCAGTCCAGGGAGATTTCGGACTCTCTAGATGGGCCTCAAGACATCTTGGGTTTGGAGAGCATGTGGGGATAGTAAACCACAAAAAAGGCCAGGCACAGTGGCTCATGCCTGCAATCCCAGCACTTTGGGAGGCTGAGGCAGGAGGATCACTTGAGCCAGGAGTTGGAGGCCAGCTTAGGCAACAAAGTGAGACCCCCATCTCTACAAGACAAAAATGAAAAAAAAAAAATTAGCTGGGTGAGGTAGTGTGTGCATGTAGTCCCAGCTACCTGAGAGGCTGAGGCAGGAGGATCCCTTGAGCCCAGGGATATGAGGCTGTAGTGAGCTATGATTGCACCACTGCAATCCAGCCTGGGCAACAGAGCAAGATCTTGTTTCAATCAATTATTCAATCAATGGATAAAACCACACAGATATCAAAAGAATGGGAGTATAACTATTTCTGACAATGCCTTACACTAACTGGCTTTAGTTTTAAAATGGTCAAATACATTCTTTTTTCCTTTTGAGACAGGGTCTCACTCTGTCACCCAGGCTGGAGTGCAATGGTGTGATCATAGCTCATTGCAGCCTCAACTTCCCAGGTTCAAGTGATCCTCCCACCTAAGCCTCCCAAGTAGCTAGGACTGCAGGCATGCACCACTACACCTGGCTAATTTATTTTTATTTTTGTAGAGATGGGGGTCTTGCTAATGCTGCCCAGGTTGGTCTCGAACTCCTGGCCTCAAGTGATCCTCCTGCCTCGGCCTCGCAAAGTGCTGAAATTACAGGTGTGAGCCACCATGCCTGGCCTAATTTCTTCAATGTTCCAATTGTCTTGAGATCTGCAGTCTCCCCTTTGCTTCCAGTTTAGCCTGAGCATGATTTGAGGGTCACTTGCCTCCAGATGCAAGTGTCCGGCAGGCACCCCCTACCCTGTGGCACAGTCCAGTGGGGACAGCTCTTCTGGGCTTGGGCCTGCCCCTCTTGGCCAGGTGTGGTGGTGAAGGGAGGTGGAGACAAGCCACATTACCTGGGCCCTTCCCTGGATGGGACACAATGCTCTGTGCTTGCCCCCACACCAGCTAGACGTTAAGGAGGCTCCCTTGGGGTCTGAGTCCCAGGATCACCATGCACCAAGTCATATGACTTTGGGAAAGCCACCTGCTCCCAGGCCTCAGTTTGCTCGTCTGTGAAATGGAAGGGATGCTGGCATTTCCATCAGCAGTGTTGCAGGGATAGGATAGAAGAAGATAAGCATTTGGGGCACTTAGCAGAGCACATGGTAGTCACAGTCATCAGTATTGTTTCCTTTAATTGCAACTCCTAAAATCAGGGATCCAAGGGACCTCAAAGACACACCCAACGTCTTTGGCCTCAAACTGGGAACGGTTGTGTTACCCCTTTCTCTCACTCTCGTGGGCCCCCTGGCTCATCTCCATGCTGGGGCATTCTCTGGGCATCGCGAAGGGCACGACATTACTCCCTGGCATTTGCAAAGTTGTTTGGCATGGGTGCGGCATTTCACTGTGTACAAGCCCCTTCCTCTGCCCAGTCCATACCTACCCCTCACGTACCTCTAGCGCTTTACAGTTTATATGTCATGCAGCATCTGCTGGGCTTAGGATGCCGACCCATGGTTTACAGAGCACACGGAGGCCCGGAGAGCCACAGGGAGCCCGGGGAGCCATGCGGGCCCCAGGCTTTGCCTCTGGGCGGCCCCACGGGCGGTGGTGCGATTCTGGCTCGGCTCCGGTCCCCTCGGGCTCTACCTTCTTGTGCTCCCTCTGTGTCCTGCGGAAGATGAAGTCTTCCTGAACGAGGCTCGGGAATGCTGCCACTGTTCAATGAGCTAATGGTGAAATTGGAAACTCAAGGGCTGGAGGCAGAGAAAAAAAAAAAAAAAGACAAGCTTTGATTCACAGGCAGGAGAATGAGTGAATGGGGAAAATTCATCCTGCGGTCATCAGAGGAAATGCCTGGGTGGCACGTCCCTCGTCCTTCGAGCAAAGTCTCTCCTGGAGAGGGGAAGGTCATGCAGGTGGCAAGCTCAGTGGCCGGCGGTGGCTGAAGCTGGGACAGGGAGGCGAAGGAGTGGGCTTGGGGCAGACAGACCTGGGCTCCAATCCCAGCGCTGCTGCAATAGCCACCGTGCCACCCTCACCTGGGAAGCAGGGTGATGGTGGGTGTTACCTCAGGGGTCTCCTAAGCAGAGTAAGTTAGCTGGTAGAAGATGGGCACAAAATAGATGCTCACAAAATAAAAACCCCTGGAAGCTTCTCTAGTAGGCCAAAGTGGAGACAATCTACTGTCTCTTTAGAAGAGGGGTTAAAATCTGTCAGCTGCCTCCACTGGTCCTGAGTGAGTGATTGAGCCATTTCGACAGCCTCGGGTCTGATTTCTGGTGTTGGGGTAGTCAGCTGGAGTCATGACAAGGTTTCTAGAGGTAATCACATACATTACATTTAGAATGAGCCGCTGGGCCCACGAGATGAGCCACTGGGCCCAAGAGAGAGAGGGAAAGGGTAACACAACGATTTCCAGTTTGAGGTCAAACACCCTGGGTATGTCTTTGACGTCCCTTGGATCCCTGATTTTAGGAGTTGCAATTAAGGGAAACAAATACTGGTGACTGTGATTACCATGTGCTCCGCTTTGGTTTTAAAATGGTCGGATACATTCTTTTTTCCTTTTGAGACAGGGTCTCACTCTGTCACCCAGGCTGGAGTGCAATGGTGTGATCATAGCTCACTGCAGCCTCAACCTCCCAGGCTCAAGCGATCCTCCCACCTCAGCCTCCCAAGTAGCCAGGACTACAGGCATGCGCCACTATACCTGGCTAATTTATTTTTATTTTTGTAGAGATGGGGGTCTTGCTAATGCTGCCCAGGTTGGTCTCGAACTCCTGGCTTCAAGTGATCCTCCTGCCTCGGCCTCACAATGCTTTATCTCCTTCTATCCTATCCCTGCAACACTGCTGACAGAAATGCCAGCATCCCTTCCATTTGACAGGTGAGCAAACTGAGGCCTGGGAGCAGTTGGCTTTCCCAAGGTCACATGGCTTAAGGCACAGTGATCCCGGGACTCAGACCCGAAGGGAGCTCCCTTAGCCTCTAGGTAATCACACACATGTCTAGCAGGTCACCACAGGCATTCTCATATGGTCTTTTTCATTTCTTCACATGGACTCATTGAGCTGGGTGTTATGATCGCTGCAGGTGAGGACGCAGGGATCTGTGGGACAGAGACTTGTCCCGGGTCACACGGCTTGCAGATGACAGCACTTGGCCTCCAGTCTGGAGCTCCTGCCTCCAGCTCCTCGGTGCCTTCTCATACTCCATCTTAATTTGGGAGGAAATGGAATCACCTGGGAGAAGGGGAGGAATGAAATTAGAATGTTAGCAGAAGAATGTTGTTGTGCCTTGAACAGTTTTAGAATTTCCTCCCAGATCCTTCAGACCGGTGAACTCACCTGCAAACACACTTTGTGATAGGAAGGCAATAGGCTGCAGCGAGAAAGTCTCCAACTCACCCGTTTTTTTGTTTAAACTTCAGGTTCCCAAATTAATAGAGGCTTCCTCTGTGTGCTAGGAGGATGCCAAGCAAGCTTCCCAGCCTGGAACTGGGAGATAATAGTAATTAATGGAGCCAGTTTGGGTGAGGAACCTCAGCTTGTGAGGTAAACAGGAAAAGATTCTGTTCTGTTTTATTATTTTTTTCTAATAACTGCTCCCCTGTGCTCTGCTGAGCTTCGTTTTTCTTGCTGGGTAGCTGGTTTCCTCTAGGACACTTCATTCTGTAACTTTCCAGTCACTTTTAGTTATTAAAAATAACAATCTCATTTTGGTTACTAAGACTCAATCCTGTTCATTTTGAAATGGCAATCTCATATGAAACTGGGAGCTTCCCTCTGGGGTATATGTGTGTGCCTGTGCCTGTGTGGGCATGTTCATATGTGTATGTGTGCCCGTATGTGTGGGTAGTGTGTGCATGTACATGTGTGCATGCATGTGTGTGTGTCCATGTGTGTGCATGTGTGTGTGGACATGTACATATGTGTATGTGTGCCTGTGCATGTGTGGGCAGTGTGTGCATGTACATGTGTGCATGCGTGTGTGTGCATGTGTGCGTATGGGCATGTACGTATGCGTATGTGTACATATGTTTGTGTGGGCTCATGTGCATGTACATGTGTGCATGTATGTGTGCATGTGTATGTGTGCGTACATATGTGTATGTGTGCATGTGCTTGTGTAGGCAGTGTGTGCTTAGGTGTATGCACGTGTGAGCAGTGTATGCATGTATATGTGTGCATGCATGTGTGGTTCTTGGGATCTTGGAAAACGCAGCTCTGGCTCAAATTCTCCCTTTTTATCCCAATTATCTGAGGCAAGCGGGACAGTTCTGGCTCCCAGAGCCCCTGATCTTGATAGCAAGGTGGACCTTGGCTTAAGTCCATACCACCTACTGTGATGTCCACCCAAGCCACAGGAAACCTGTGAGTCCTTGCTACACCAGAGAGCGGCCACCCTTCTCTCTGCCCTGCCATCTCCACTGTTGCTTTCTCCATGCACCATGGGGTTGTTGAAACCTGGTGGCTCAGGGTGCATTGCAGGCTTAATGGCTCAGAGTGGTTGGAGACATGCTCATGGTGCCTGACCTGGGGAGGGGCAGGTGAGATTAGGTGTCGGGCGCTCCTGGGCTCATAGAAAGGCAGCGGGGCACTCTGCCTGCTTCCCTCAACACCTCTCTTGCATCTCTCCCTGGTAAATGCTGCCCTATCGTTTGGTGTCTCTTGTCACTGGAGCTATAGAAAATCCTAGGACTCCAAGAATGACACCTTCTTTGAGATGGCTCTGGAGGATTTAGTAACTTTGTTCTTCCCAGTGAAATTTTGGAGCCCCTTCAGAGCCCTTTAAGAGGGAAGCTGGGGTAGGAGGAGCCCCCAGGACCTCCTGGCATCCTGTTACACGCAGTCCTATTCACAGAGCCCCCGGACAGTGCCTTCTCAGGACACTCACAGCAGGTTTCATTATCCTCATTTTACAGATGAGGAAACGAAGGCTCAGACACAAAAGAACTTGTCCAAGTTTACATGGGCAGCTAGTGGCAGAATCGGGATTTGGATCTGGGTCTGCTTGTCTTCAGAGACCCAGGAGTCACGGATGTTTGTTATTTAGGGTCACCCAGAGTCTATTCCTCCTCCTTCTGGTTCCAGCACCCTAATGTCTTTTAGAGCCATCGCTTCTTCCTCATCGGGTGCAGTCTTGGGGCCCAGTCCATTAAGGCTTCCTGCCCTCCCTTAGACACTGACCTAAACTGAGCTCATCAGACCCTCTGTCCTGGACCCTGAGCCAGGAACAGACAGCAACAGGGACAAGCACCCCATCCCCAAAGAGAGAGAAGCAAACAGCAAAGAGCAGTCATTCCAGCCCTGGACCGACGAGGCCATCGAGTAGCTCCAGCTTCCCAGGCTTGGGAGCTGCTGCAGTTCCTGCCCATTTTCAGGTCCTCGTTTTCAGATCCCATGCGGTGGACTAGCCAATATCCTCCAAATAAAACCCCCCACCCCTATTTTATCTATCTATCTATCTATCTATCTATCTATCTATCTATCTATTTATTTATTTATAGATGGGAAGTTTTGCTCTATTGCCCAGGCTGGAGTGCAGTGACGTGATCATAGCTCACTCCTACCTCAAACTCCTGGGCTCAAGCAATCTTCCTGCCTCAGCCCTCCTGAGTAGCTGGGACTACAAGCATGCACCACCATAGCCAGCTAATTAAAAAACTTTTTTTTTAAATGTTGCCCAGGCTGGTCTTGAATTCCTGGCCTCAAGTGATCCTCCCACCTCGGCCTCCCAAATTGTTGGGATTACAGGTGTGAGCCACCGCACCCGGCCTCCCTATTTTATTTGCTTTAGTCAGCCACAGTTGGTTTCCATTGTTTGTAATCAAATAATCCTCTCTGGTACCCTAAGCATGGTGTTGGGGGACCCTGCTCTTTGCCTGCTGGGAACCCCTTTGTTCTCTGTGTATTGATGAATTATGACATTTAAGGCACTTAGAACAGGGCCTGGCTCTCAACAAATGACTCTGCCATTCTTATTACTCTTCTCGTCTTGGGCTCCAGTTCACGTCGGGGTCCAGGCTGGGGTGTGTGGCCAGGTCTGGCCCTCCCAGGCCTTGGGGCTGTTGGGATCCCCATGAAGCCTGAGCTCACAGGTCTGGGTTCGGTTCCTACCAGGCAGATGCTCGTGCGGCGTCAGATGGGCGCTCACCACAGCTGGCATTAATTGACCATGTGACCAGCTGGCAGCTGCTGCCTGTGCTGTGTTCCAGGGGCCCCAGCCAGGAAGGGCTGGACTCGCCATCCTCCCCAACTGGTGTTATGAAGTATGAAGATCGTTATCGTTCTGAGCACCTACTACGTGCCCGGCCCTTTAACGATAGTAAGGGCAATCCTAATCATAAAAGCCACAGCATCAAACATTGTCACTGTTTGTTTTTCCCAGCATTCTTATGGGGAGACTTGTGCCCATTTTATGGACGAGTAAATTGAGGCCGAGGGACGTTGCTGGGAAAACATGGAAGGTGCTTGGGTTCAACTTGGTGTCTCAACTTCAGCAGTGGCACTGGCTGGTTTCTTTAGATTTACTTCAAGGTAAACACGAAAGTATTTGATTTTCCAAGACAGCACAGCTTGATCGACATGAGAAACACACACAGTCCTCCTATTAATATGGCTTTGATGGTGCTCTTTACAAAATATTCCTGACTCTATTATATTACAGGGCCTTCACCTCCTCCTCCCTGTGTCATGTCTAGATCCTTGGGGACAAATGGGAACATCCTCACGCATGCTGGCTACACATCAATAACTCCCAGATTTCTGTTTTTTTGTTTGTTTGTGGGTTTTTTTTGTTTGTTTTTTGTTTTTTTTTATTTTTTTTTATTTTTTTTTTTTTTTTTGAGACGGAGTCTCGCTCTGTCGCCCAGGCTGGAGTGCAGTGGCGCGATCTCGGCTCACTGCAAGCTCCGCCTCCCGGGTTCACGCCATTCTCCTGCCTCAGCCTCCCGAGTAGCTGGGACTACAGGTGTTTTTTGTTTTTTTGAGACAGAGTTTCATTCTTGTCTCCCAAACTGGAGTGCAATGGCGCAATCTCAGGTCACTGCCACCTCTGCCTCCCGGGTTCAAGTGATTCTCCTGCCTCAGCCCTCCAAGTAGTAGGACTACAGGCATGCGCCACCATGCCCGGCTAATTTTTGTATTGTTAGTAGAGATGGGGTTTCACCATGTTGGCCAGGCTGGTTTTGAACTCCTAACCTCAAATGATCCGACCGCCTCGGCCTCTCAAACTGCTGGGATTACAGGCATGAGCCACTGTGCCCTGCCAACTCCCTGATTTCTATCTCCAGTACAGCTGGCTTCTGCATCCTAGACTGGCTTCTCCAACAGCCTTCTTGACACCTCACAGGGATGGCTGGAAGACACCTCAAGCCCCACACATCCATACTCTTGGGCTCCCTCACTCCCCGACCCTGCTACTCAAGCAACTTCCTTCACCTCACAGGCTGGCAACTCCATCCTCCTCATGCTCAGTCCAAAGCCCTGCAGTCATCCCTGGCTTCCTCTCTTTCTCTCTTGCCCACATCTCATCCATTTGGAAATCATGCATGGGTCAGGAATTGATCCCCTCTTTCCCTTCTACCACCTCCACCCTAGTCTGAGCCACCATCCTTTCTTGCCTGGATTACCCCATTATCTTCCTACCCTGCTCCCAGCTCCTACACTGGCCCCACCTTCATCCCTTCCCAACACAGAGACTGGATGATCCTTTGAAGACAGGAGTCAGACTGTGTCCCCTATCTGCTCAAGCCTAGGTTGTGACTTCCATTTTGCTCAGGGTAAAAGCCAAAGGTATAAGGGCCCCCAGGACCCTCCTGATCTGGACTCAGGTCCCACAGCTCTCTCCTGCCTGCTCTGCTCAGCCACACTGGTCCCTTGCAGTCACCCCCCACGCCAGGCTGGCTCTTGCCGCAGGGCCTTTGCACCAGCCGCTCCCTCCTCCCTCTTGCTACGCACATGGCTCACTTCCTTATCTCCTGCGAGTCTGCTCAGTGAGCTTCTTCTTCCCTGACCACACTAAGGTTGAATTGTCCACACCTCACACCCCATGCCCCTCCTCTCCCTCATGCTGTCTTACTTTTTCTTTGTTTCATACCAAGTATCACCTTCTGATACCCTTATTGAAGGATTTCACTTAAGTATCTACTTTAGGAGAATTTGCTGAAGGCGATTTATGATTGCTGGTTTTTGTCTGACTTATATCAGCTCCCCCAGGGTGAAACTCTTTGCCTGTTTTGTTCCCCACATGTCACAAGCTTCTGGAGCACTGCCTTGCACGCAGTGGACACCCTGTGGATGAATCCCCAGTAGTTTTCCTTGGATCCTCAAATTTCTCCCTGACACTGGAGCCACAGAGCATCATTTCATGCCCTTGTACACAGTATCATTAGAGTCTGCAGAAAACAAAAATGACCCTGCAGTGTAAGCTGTTGGCTCGGCTGCTGTTCTCACCTTTGGGCTCCACCCATGCCAAAGCCCTTATAGGCTCCTGCTCTGTCACACCTCAGGGCCTTTGCACATGCTGTGCCTTTTTCTGCCCAGTGGACTCTTGGGTGTCATTCAAAGCCCTGCTAAGGTGTTGCCTCTTCCCTGAGGCCCTCCAGGACACTCCCACCCTCCTCAGTCCTGGGAAACACTTAATCCCTTCTTCCTTTCCTGCAGTGACATACCTATGGCATTTCTCAGTGTATGGGTCCCAGTGTCCCCCTGGGTCATGGCTCTGTGTCCATTGCACCATCAGACTGTGAGCTCCTTGAGGGCAGAGGCTTGGCTCTTGCTCTGTATCCTGAGCCTGGGGCTTGGCACAGGGCAGGTGCCCAGTCAGTGTTTGTTGGGGAAGACAGAGTAAATCTGACACAAGCCAGGAGAGAACAAAGACAGTTGTGAAGACCCTTTCAAGGTCACTGGCTGGCGGGGAATGAACACTGTCTTATTATTTGATCATTTATTTATACTCTATTTTCAAATAGGATTTGAGACAGGCTGAGATGAAAAGCATAGATAGGGCAAAAATGAAGCCCTGCGTCTTGAGTGCCTCCTCCTCCTCCTCCTGGCTCTTCCTCCCTGGCTATAAACATGCCCCAGACTCTGTCTTCTTAAAAGAAGTGCCCTAAACCCTCCAGCAGCTCTATGGCCCTCTGCAGCCCAGGCTTTCAAACCAGGCCTGCAGCCATTGTCTATCCTCAGACCCACTTTCTGAAGCTGGAGTCATCTTATTTCTGCCCCATCCCCCCAGTAAACCCATCTTAGCCGGGGCACCGGGTACTTCTATGTTACTAATACAATGGACACATTCAGATCTAAGTCACTGGAGTTCTGGGTAGCCTTGGGCATTTTGACCCCTCTTCCCTTCTCCAACCCCCTGTTTACCTTGGCTGATGTGACGCCACACTCTTGGGGTCCCTACCAACTCTCTGTTTTCTCCTTCCCACCTCCTGTCCTCTGCTCATCCCATAAACATCTATGAGCCTCGGGACTCCTTCCCTCATCCCTTCTCTAGTCACCCTACACACTTTTCCTGAGCAATTCTCTTTTCATTCTGCAGTTACCACCAGGACTAGTTTGGGTAATTCTAGAAACAGATAAACCCCCAAAGCTCAGTGGCTTAACACAGTACAAATTTCTCTCTCCCTTACACAAAGTCCATTCAGTAGCAAGAAGAGAGAAGGGGGCTTGGCTCCCTCTGGTCATCAAGGGATGCAGGCTCAATTCACTTGGCCGTCATTGACCCTGAATCTGTGCGCACATTGGACAAGAGCAGGGTTGGGGGAGCCTGTCCACTTACCATCCTATCACCGGGGAATAGTCACCCTACCTCTCTGAGCATCCTTTTCTTCATCTGTCCAGAGGAAGAGCATGCCACCCACCTTGAGACTCTGTTGTGAGGCCCCATGAGAGCACAGACAAATGACGATGCTGACAAGGGAGTTCTAGGTGGGCAGGGACAGGCTTCTTTCTCTCGCATTTCCTGAGCCAGGAAACACCTGCCAGTTGGCTGAACCCAGGAGTTGGGGATGTGGCTAGAAGGAGACGGAATCAGGCCCCATCGCAAGCCATGTTCTCAGGGAGGCCTTGCTGCTGGGGACTGTGCAGGGACATCCCGGCCAGAAGGCAGCTGTGTGACTGGATCCTCCTACATAAATTCGTGGCCAGAGCATGGGAACTCACCCAGAGAACTGACTCAGCCTTCTGGCTGGCTCTCAGAGCCTGTGCTGGGGCTGCAGCAGGGCTGATGGTCAAATCCATCACCCACAGTCAACTGCATGACAGTGGGCATATGTCACCAGCTCTCAAAGCCAGACAGGCTGGATCCTCTGTCCTCTTCAAAGGGAAGGAAGACTGACATTGATTGAGCACCTACTGTGTGCCAGACATTCTCTTAAGTGCTTTACATCTACCATTGTTTAAGTCTCACAGTAGCCCAGGAAGTGGGCAGCAGTCATCGTTCCCATCTCACAGGTTAGGAAACCAAGACTTAGGAAGCTTAAGATTTCAAAATTTCAATAAAAGCACAACAAGAAAGAGGAAGCCCAAAGCATGCACACTTCAAACGCCCAGTGGCTTATTTTTGAGCTCTCTCTTGACCCACTTCTTTAACTCTCCTAAGACCATATCACAGAAAGGAAGGAGGCAGGGCCTGGGAATTGGAACACCTGGGCTCACAGTCCACAGCCAGCACTTACTAAATGAGTCATGTTGTGCAAACCACTGTAACCTCTTGAAGACTCAGTTTTCTCATCTGTCGAATGGTCGTAATCACGCTGCTCTCCCAATGTCAAGGGAGAGGAATTCATAAACTGCCAAGAGCTCAACATTTTCTTTCCTTCCTTTTTTTTTTTTTTTTTTTTGATGGAGTTTTGCTCTTGTTGCCCAGGCTAGAGTGCAATGGCACAATCTCAGCTCACCACGACCTCTACCTCCCAGGTTCAAGTGATTCTCCTGCCTCAGCCTCCCGAGTAGCTGGGATTACAGGCATGCGCCACCACACCTGGCTAATTTTGTATTTTTAGTAGAGATGGGGTCTTGACATGTTGGCCAGGCTGGTCTTGAACTCCCATCCTCAGGTGATCTGCCCGCCTCGGCCTCCCAAAGTGCCAGGGTTACAGAGGTGAGTCTCACTCTGTCACCCAGACTAGAGTGCAGTGGTGCCATCATGACCCATTGCCACACTCGACTTACCAGCCTCAAGAGATCCCACCACCTTGGCCTCCTGAGTAGCTGGGACTCCAGGTGTGCACCACCATGCCCCGCTAATTTTTGAATTTTAATTTTTTTGTAGAGACAGTGTCTTGCTACATTGCCCAGCCTGGTCTCAAACTCCTGGGCTCAAATGATACTCCTGCCTTGGCCTCCCAAAGTGCTGAGAGACCCCCTTCTTTCCTTTTGCTACTGAATGGACTTTATGTAAGGGAGAGAGGAATTTGTACTGCGTTAAGCCACTGAGCTTTGGGGGTTTATCTGTTCCTAGAATTACCCAAACTAGTCCTGGCGGTAACTGCAATCATGGGCATGAAAAGAGAATTGCTCAGGAAAAGTGTGTTGGGTGAGTAGAGAAGGGGTGAGGAAAGGAGTCCCAAGGCTCACAGATGTTTATGGGATGAGCAGAGGATGGGAGGTGGGAGGGAGAAAACAGAGAGGTGGAAGGGACCTCAAGAGTCTGGTGTCCAGGAGAAGCAAAGAGTCCAGGAGCCACTGCACCTGGCCAGCATTTTCTCTGTTTAAGCTGCTGCAATCTCCCACTCAGATGCTCCTTAGGGGTCTTCTACGGCTTAATCTGTTCTGAAGCCTCTTCTCTGCACAGCAGCCAAGGAAGTTTTTGAAACAGAAATCAGATCACAGTACTTCCTTGCTTGAAACCCTTAAATGGGTTCACATGCATTCCTGACACCTTGTGTGAGCAAGCTCTCCCTATGTCTTGCCACCTGACCCTGTCCCTTAGCTTCTTTTCAGCCCCTGGCCACCTTTTCATCTTTTTGTCACCCTGTGCTTTTTTTTTTTTTTTTTTTTTGAGATGGAGTCTTGCACTGTTACCTGGGCTGGAGTACAATGGCACGATCTCGGCTCACTGCAACCTCCGCCTCCCAGATTCAAGTGATTCTCCTGCCTCAGTCTCCTGAGTAGCTGGGGTTGCAGGCGCCCACCACCACGCCTGGCTAATTTTTTATATTTTTAGTAGAGATGAGGTTTCACTGTGTTGGCCAGGCTGGTCTCGAACTCCTGACCTCGTGATCCGCCCACCTCGACCTCCCAAAGTGCTGGGATTACAGGTGGGAGCCACCGCGCCTGGCCCACTCTGTGATTTTTCTTGTTCCAAGTCCTATGCACATGCTTTCTACTCTGCTTGGAACATACCTCTCTCATGCTCTTCAACTGGGCAACACCTGTTTCTGCTTCAGATTGCATGAGAAATATCATTTTCTCAGAAATGCATCTTTCTGCTCCTCTAAATTAGGTTCCCTGGGTTTCCCTCCCACAGCATGCCATCTCTTTCACTCTGCATGATTTGCCATTGCATTTTTACTTGTTTGTTTTTTAATGTCTGTCTCCCTCTTAGAATGTAAGCTCCATGAGGGCAGGCACCATGTCTGCTCTGCTCACTGTCAAGTCCCCATCCCCAGCACAGTGCCTGGCACCAAAAGGGCACTCAACACTTTTAGTGGAACGAGCAGAGGTGTTTGCTGCTGTTTCCCCAGCATGCCTCATCCTGCCATTCCATTCTTGTGCTAGAAAGGGTGCAGCCCCAGGATCCAGTGTGTAGGAAGGAGAAGTGCCCTCGTGAGGGCCCCTCCTGTATTCCCAGGCCCCAAGGAGGTGCAGGAGGAGGGAGAGCCTCTTGCACCACCCGTCTGGTTCCAGAAGAGCAGCCGGCCTATCTCCCTCGCCTGCCACAGTCCCAACTTCCCCTAGACAGCACCGAGGCCACCTCTGCAAAAATGGGCCCCAGATGACAAGGTTCTCCTCTCACCGGGACCACTGGGACACAGCGCGACAACTGACCTATATTAATCACAAGTGCTATTAGCCGTCTTGGTCCCCTCCCAGCCAGCATCAAATCCCACCCTGCACAAGCACTTCCACCTATCCAAGGACGTTGTAAAAATAAAATGATCACAACCTGGCCCTCGGGGAGCCTCAGCCTTACAGTGTGTCCTGCTCCGAGGCGGACAACATTCACAACCCAGTTTGAGGAGGAGAAGCAGAGAGAAGGAGGTAAAAAGGAGGGAGGAATTTGTGGAGGGGAAGGGGGTAAGGCAGATACTCAAGAACTTGAAGGCATGAGGGCAGATGAGATGAGAAAGAGAGGGACAAAGTGGCAAAGAAGAGGAATGAGAGCAACACACGGAGAGAAGAAAAATTAGCAAAAGAGCCCAGGGGAGATATTAGGGAGCGGGACTAGAATTCTAACAAGAACAGTGGAAGCCTTATAAAGAACATTAAAGAGTCCCGGAAGGAAATTCGTTAAAAGGAGAAGAATGGGATGAAAGGAAGAAAATAAATGAAAAGCAAATAAAACTGATTCTTCTGCCTGCCCCCTAAATGAGATTGGGCTGTTTGCTGAAAATAGAAGCAGAGGAAGTGAAACAACCCAGGAATATACCAAGGCTGAAGGCTGGAGAGTTGGGAAGGAAGGGCTGACGGGTAAGACAGAAAGCAATTCAAGGCACACCCAAGTGACAGCTGGGGGCGGGGGCGGTTGGATGACGACTGGACCGGCCCTTGAAAACTGGTTGGTGTTCTTGCCTTGGGCCAGGCATGTCCAGCCCTCAGAGGCCCGGCTTTGAGGCAAGTTCTTTTCTAGACTCCACACCTGCCCTGCTCTGCCCTGCCCTGCCCTGCCCTGCCCTGCCCTGCCATGCCCTGCCCTGCTGGGAGTTTTCAGTCCTAGGAGGGTGGCTGCTGGTTGCTCAGGAGCAAACTGTTCCCCTAAGGCCCAGGTCAAACCCATTGACTCCATTGTCTCTCCTCTTCAACTGTGCCCTCAGAGGCTCTTGGACAGCCAAGGGTTCTGTCTGGGAATGTATAGTCTCTCCCGGGTCCATCCTGGAGATGCACATTTGGACAAATGCACATTTGGACATTTTGTCTCCAAATGTGCAGTAAAAAAAACTCAGTGCACTCAAAATTGCCATCCCTCTGTCTCCCTTCACTAATTCACTATTCAACAAGGTTTCACTGAGCACTTAGTATGTGCCAGGACTCCAGTGAATAAGACAAAGTCCCTGACCTGCAACACTTAGAGTTCTTCTTTCCTCCCATCTTTGCCTCCTTCCTTCTTTCTGGCTCATATTCACCCCTCCAGTGTATCAGTTATTCTTGCTGCATTGCAAACCACCCCAAACTTACTGGGTGCAAACCAACACCAATCATTTGTGATTACATCTCTCATGCATGGGGAGGTTGACTGAGCTCAGCCATGTAGTTCTCGCCAGGGTCTTTCACTCAGTCACGGTTAGATGGGGGCTGAGGGCTAGGGGCTGGGGCTGAAGCTGGTTTGAAGGCCTCCTCCCTCATGTGTCCGGGGGCTGGGAGCTCACCTGGAGCTGGCAGCTGAAACTCCTATGTGCCCATCACCATGTGTTCTGGGCTCCCTTACTGCATGGTGACTGGGTTCTAAGGGGCTGTGGTGCCTTTTCTGACCTACTGTCAGAAGTCACATAGCGTCGCTGCAGTTGTATTCTCTTAGGAGTACTGCTCGGCTCTCAGGCAGTCATAGAGATCCATCCAGGTTGAAGGGGAGGGGACACAGACCCCACCTCTTGATGGAGGACTGGCAGGGTCACTTGCAGGATGAGCATGTGGGAGCATCTTTGGAAAATACCATCTGCCGCAATTTGCCTTCTGGCCACAGCTATTCACGATGATTCATACCCACCCCTATTATGAGCTGAACTCTGTCTCCCCAAAAATTCATATGTTGAAGCCCTAATCCCAGTACCTTAGAATGTGACTGTATTTGAAGACAGGTTCATTAAAGAGGTGATTAAATGACAATGAGGTCATTATCATGGGCCCTAATCCAATATGACTGTTGTCCTTATTAAAAAAGACTGGGACACAGACACACACAGAAGCAAGACTGTGGGAAGACACAGGGAGGAAGCAGCCAACTCTAAGCCAGAGAGAGACCTCAGAAGAAACCAACCCTGCTGACACCTTGATCTTGGACTTCCAGCCTCCAGAACAGCAAGAGAATAAATTCCTGTTGGTTTAGCCACCCAGGCTGTAGAATTTTGCTATGGCAGTCCTAGCAGAGGAATACATGCCCCACATGCAAAACCTATTCATTCCTTTCCCTTGAGATCTGTATGGCAGCCGCTCAAAGGCCAGGAGCCAGCCAGGTGCAGGTGGGAATGCATCTCCTCAGGTGGCCTTTCTTGGGTACAGCTCCTTGAGTGCCACTTCATTCAATGGGAAGACCTGTGAGCTAAAGAAATGAGTTATCTGCCCTCCCCCTCCTACTCCACAATGGTGGTTCAGGCATAGGAAAACTATTAACACCATAGGCACCCCCAAACTAAAAGCGGAGGAGCAGGAGACACACAGGAGTCACTGGTCCAGAGCAATTCTGAAATCCATCCTGCTCAAGTCCCATCCTTCCTTCAGGACTTGATGAAATCCCTGCTGGCTCCCTGTGC